>NC_000023.11:79129208-79432238 GCF_000001405.40 Homo sapiens
AAACTACAGTAGTGTATGATAAAGTCCTAGGCCTTCACATTCACTTATCACCAACTGACTCACCCAGAGCAACTTCTACTCCTTCAAGTTCTATGAATGGTAAGTGCCCTATAGAGGCGTGCCATCTTTTATACCATATTTTTACTGTACCTTTTCTATGTTTAGATACACAGATACTCTCCATTGCATTACAATTGCCTACAGTATTGAGCACAGTAACATGCTGTACAGGTTTGTAGCCTAAGAGCAATAGATTATGCCATATAGCCTAGTTGTGTAGTAGGATATACCATCTAGGTTTGTGTAAGTACACTTCATGAGTTTTGCACAACGATGAAATCGCCTAAGGACATATTTCTGAGAACATTTTCCCATCATTAAGTGATTGAAAACGTAGTCATGTAAAAACTCATACACAAATAAATGTTTATAGCAGCTGATATGGTTTGAATATTTGTCCCTTAAAAATCTCATGTTAAAATGTAATTTCTAGTGTTGGAGGTGGGGCCTGGTGGAAGGTGCTTGAATCATGGGGGTGTATCCCTTACAAATGGTTTAGTGTCATCCCCTTGGTGATGAGTGAGTTCACTCAAGGTCTGGTTGTTTAAAAGTGTGTGGTGTACCATCCCACTCTCTCTCTTGGTCCTGCTCTCATCATATGAGATGCCTGCTCCGCCTTTGCCTTCCCCCAAGCTTGTAAGCTTCCTGAAGCCCTCACCAGAAGCAGATGCTGGCACCACACTTCTTTTATTATCTGTAGAACCGTGAGCCAATGAAACCTCTTTTCTTTATAAATTATCCAGTCTGTAGTATCTCTTTATTACAACTCAAAAATGTCCTAACACAGAACATTTGTACCAGGAGTGGAATGTTGCTATGAGGATAACTGAAAATGTGGAAGTGGCTTTGGAACTGGGTAAAGGGCTGCAGTTCGAAAAGTTTGGAGGGCTGAGAAGGATACAGGAAGCTGAGGGAAAGTTTGGGACATCTTAGAGACTGGTCAAATGGTTGTGATCAAAATGGTGACAGTCGATCGACAGTGAAGTCCAAGCTGATGAGGTCTCAGATGGAAATGAGAAACTTACTAGGAATTGGAGCAAAGATCACCTTTATTATGCCTTAGCAAAGATTTTGGCTGCACTGTTGTCCATGCCCTAGGGATCTGTGGAAAATTGAACTTAAGAGTGATGAGAAGCCGGGCGCAGTGGCTCACGCCTGTAATCCCAGCACTTCGGGAGGCCGAGGCGGGCGGATCACGAGGTCAGGAGATCGAGACCATCCTGGCTAACACGGTGAAACCCCGTCTCTACTAAAAATACAAAAAATTAGCCGGGCGCGGTGGCGGGCGCCTGTAGTCCCAGCTACTCGGGAGGGAGGCTGAGGCAGGAGAATGGCGTGAACCCAGGAGGCGGAGCTTGCAGTGAGCCGAGATAGCCCCACTGCACTCCAGCCTGGGCGACAGAGCGAGACTCCATCTCCAAAAAAAAAAAAAAGAGTGATGAGTTAGGGTGTCTGGTAGAATAAATTTCTAAGCAGTAAAACTTTCAAGATGTGGTCTAACTGCTTGTAACAGTCTCAGCTCAGATGTGGGAGCAAAAAATAACTTAAATTTGGAGCTTCTATTTAACAGGGAAGCAGAGCACAAAAGTTTGGAAAATTTGCAGTCTAGCCATGTGGTAGGAAAAAAAAAAGGCTGTTTTCAGGAGAAGAGTCTAAGTATATTGTGAAGCAACCACTTGCTAGAGAGATCAGCATAACAAAAACATCCAAGTGCTGATAGCCAAGACAATGGGATAAGGGCCTCAAATGCATTTCAGAGATCTGTGAGGCAACTCCTCCCATCATAGACCCAGAGGCTTAGGAGAAAAGAATAGTTTTGTTGAACAGGCCTGGGGCATCACCTCAGGAGGCTGCACCCTGTATCCCTGCTGCTCCAGCTTCAGCCATAGCTCAAAATGCCCAAGGTACAGCTCAGGACACTGCTTTAGAGGGCACAAGCCATAAGCCTTAGTGGCTTCCACGTAGTGTTAAGTGTGCAGATGCTCAGAATGCAAGTATGAAGGAACCGTGGTAGCTTCCACCTATATTTCAGAAAATGTATCAGAAAGCCTGGGTGCTCAGGCAGAAGCCTGCCACAGAGGTGAAGCAATGACAGAAATACTAAACCCGGCATGACACCCATTAAATCTTAAAGCTCCAGCATAATCCTTGACTCCATGTCCCACATCTAGGACACACTAGTGCAATGGGTGGGATCCCAAGGCCTTGGGCAGCTTCGCCTCTGTAGCTTTGCAGGCTGAAGCCCTTGTTGTGCTCTCATAGGTTGGAGATAAATTTGAGGCTGGAGCCCCCACAGAGACTACCCACCAGGGCACTGCCTAGTGGAGTTGTGGGAAGGGGGTCACTGTCCTGCAGACCCCAGAATGGTAGATTCACCAGAACCTTGCACCCTCTGCCTCTAAAAGCCACAGACACTCAAATCTAACAAGGGATGCAGTCTGGAGTCAAGGATTATGTTGGAGCTTTAGGATTTAATGACTGCCTTGCTGGATTTAGGACTTGCATGGGGTCTATTGCCCCTTTCTTTAGACTGATTTCTCCCTTTTGATATGGAAATGTTTATCCAATGCCAATATCACCATTGTATCTTGGAAGTAAAAATCTTGTATTGATTTTACAGGCTCATAGGTGGAAGCGGATCATTCTCAGATGAGACTTAGGCTTTATACTTGACATTGGAACAAGTTAGGACTTTGGGGGCACTGTTGGTAAAGGATTGTTGTAGTTTGCAATGTGAGAAGGACATGAGATTTGGGAGGCCAGGGGTGGAATTATATGGTTCGGATATTTGTCCCCTCCAAATCTCATGTTGAAATATAATCCCAAGTGTTGGAGGTAGGGCCTGGTGTGAGGTGTTTGGATAATGGGGGTGTATCCCTCATGAGTAGCTTAGCACCGTCCCCTGGGTGATAAATGAGTTCACTTGGGATTTGCTTGTTTAAAAGTGTGTGGCACCTCCCCCGACCCTTGCTCTTATTCTTTCCATATGAGAAACCTGTTCCCCCTTCACCTTCTGCCATGATTATAAACTTCCCAAGGCCCTCACCAGAAGCAGATGCTGGCACCATGCTTCTTGTCCTGTCTGAGGAACCATGATCCAAAGAAATCTCTTTTCTTTATAAATAACCCAGCCTCAGGTATTCATTTATAGGAATGCAAAAATGGCCTAACACAGCAGCTTTATTCATAATAATTCAGAAGTGAAAACAATTCAAATGTCCATACACTGACAAATGATTTAATGAAATATGGTTTATCCATACAATGGAATATTATTAAGCAACAAAAATATCGAAGTACTGATACATGACACAATGTGGATGAACCTTGAAAACATTACAAAAGTGAAATAATTCAGTCACAGAAAGGCAACATATGGTATGATTCTATTTACATGGAATGTTCAGAATGGAAAAACAAGTCTATAAAGACAGAGTATATTAGTTGTTGTCCAGGAGTGGGAAGGTGAGGGGAATAGGGAGTGACTACTTATGGTTTATTTTTAGCCTTCTGTGCATGTTCCAAAATTTCATTATCATGATAGTTGCATCACTCTGTAAATATTGTAAACATAATTGAACTGTATACTCTAAACAGATTATTTATGGTATATAAAGGCAAGATTTGGCCTGCATGTCATACTTTAACAGTTCCTGACCGAAGTAGTAGAATTCCAATTAGTGGGACAGGAAAGAATAATAGGCAGGGATAGGACAATGGTTTGAAGGGAATTCTTTAGTCCTTTCTAAGACACATCACACTGGTGAATATATACAAATATAGAAAGAAAGTGAAGCAAAGTAGATTTTCTTACTTTTCCCCAATAAAGATACATCCAGCATTAGAATTACTAGCTATTTTAGTTCCTTCACAGTCATATGCTACTGAAATGCATGTCTTGTCCTTTTCAGAAGGAAGGTGATGAGATCTCTGTATATGGTAGCAAAGAGATTATATTAGTGATGGATAACTGAAGAATGAGAAACTATGTAATCACAATCAGAGTGAATTTGTAAATTCCTACACACTAATATGGTAGCTTTTCACACAATAATGTTAATAATAAGTAACATGTATTAAAAGTTTCCTAAGTGCTTTGTTTATATTAACTTGCTTATACCTTATGACATCTCCTTAAAGTAGATTCTATGTTATCTACATTTTACGAATGAGGACAATAAGGCAATGAGGTGTTAAATTGTCTGTCCAAGATCAAAGAGCTAATGAGTAGCAGAACCAAGTTTGGAATACAAGTAGAACTCTAGACACTTTAATTTTAGCCACTGTGCTATATGACCATATGATTTCAAGTTTGGAAAGGATAAAAAAGATTAATAAATTCAACTATTTTTTCAAATAGTTTAAAATTATTCAAATTATTTATTCAAATAAAATATTACATAAAAATTGTCTGTGTAAAACATTTTAACATGGAACCCATTGAGTTGATGGCCTGGAGTCCTGCCTTTGTGGATCCCCCAGAGATTTTTCAAACATTTTGAGAATTTGATGTAGCCTAAATTTTCTTCCTTTACTTAAATCTCTCTATGATATTGCTATTTTAGTCTGCTCAGGCTGCCACAGCAAAATACCATAGGCTGGGTGGCTTAAACAACAGAAGTGGATTCTCTCAAAGTTCTGGAGGCTGGCAAGTCCAATATCAATGTCCCAGCAGGGTTCATTTTCTGATGAGGGCTTTCTTCCTGGCTTGCAGGTTGTTACCTTCTTACCATGTCATCACACGGAAGAGAGAGAGAGAGAGAAAGCGAACGAGAGAGAGCAGGCAAGCAAACTCTGGTGCCTCTTCCTTTTATTATGAGGCGACCAGCTGTTTCACATTAGGACCCCACCCTTATGATCTCATTTAACTTTTTTCACATCCTCTAAGGCCCCACCTCCAAATACAGTCACATTGAGGGTTAGTGCTTCGACATAATGAATTAGGGGGAGGGACACACAATTCAGTCCATAGCAATCCCAATCATAAATACTCTAGCTTCTGTTTTCATATGTTCATGAGAAGGAAAAGTATTTGCTCACCTATGCTGTCCTTGTTATTAATAGCTTTTGACAAAAATAATAATTTGAGTGATCTTTCTTACATTCAGCAAGTATATGTCTTTTGGGAGTTTGTATACACAGCTTCTAATTCTTCCCTTTAGGATTGTGTTGATAAATCTGCTCACATTAAGGGACTTGGCTCTGTAGCTGGTGCATAGTACTTACTCAATAAGATGTTATTATTATTTTGTCTAACAGTCTAACAGACACTTAATTATTTATAGGTAATTATGACATGCTCCATTCAAAACTCCCATATTCTTCTCTTCTACACACTAAACATCCTCAGTTTTTTCTCTATTTTATCTTGTAAAGACTTTTTTTAAACCATTTTTGATGCTTTCTTATTGTATTCTCTCCTGAAGTATAGCTGCCTGAACTTCATAAAGCTATTTTAGGAGTGGTCTGACTATCTCAGAGTAGAATAGAACTGTTACCTCCACTGTTCTAGACAGTTTATTTTCATTAATACACACTAAGGTAATATTTAGTTTTTTGTGGGTTTTGGTGGCTATTGATCATTTTTCACTGAGCTTGAGCTAAGAGTCAGCTGTAATTACTTAATCTTTTCTACATGCGATACTGCTTACCCACATCTCTCCTGTTCTTTAAGTGATCGTTCACTTTTTTTTTTTTGATATGAGAGTCAAGCAAGACACTTTTCCCATTTAAAGTCCATTTTACCGTAGCCAGCCCTTGTTAAGATCCTGCTGGATCTGCAATGATACAACTTACCAAAGCTCCATCACAGTTCCAAGTTTGTTGGTAGGCCTTTCTTGTAGCACAGAGAAATACTGAGGCAAAAAGTGAGACCCATGGTATAATTGAGACATAGTGTTGTCAGCTTATATCTGTGTGCAGCTGGTTGCTCCAGCAACAACTGGAATACAATGTAGGTCTGAAAACATGGAAGGTATCTAATACATACCTTACTTAGCTATAACCTTGAACAATCCTCTAAGTATTTAAATGCTTTGTGCTTAATTTTCCTCATGTATACAGAGAGTACAGTAATCTGCTCTATCTTGTAGGGTTATTGGACAGAGGAAATAAGAGACAAGATATGACAAGAAACATACTTCAGTTTTCATTGTTTGAGCACATGAATCCAGCAATGCTTGAAGTCCTGAAATTCTTAGGTAGATGAGCCTACACATTTTTGTTTGGTAAACTCAATTTGAATTGGATTTCAATCACTTGCATATGAAAGAGTCCTGACTGAAATCTGGGGTTGGGCAAAGGATGACTGGGTCAATGTAATAATAATCCCTGTGAATTAGAGTGCCTACTATTTTTTTCTCTCACAGAAGACATATAGAAAACAGAACAAAAAGAACAGTGATGAGATGGATACATGGGGAGGCTCCAGAAAGTGGCAGATGGTTTGGGGTTCCCCTATTGAATAGCTGATTAATAACTTGACAGAAAGCATGGCCTTTTGGGATGGGAAACCATGGACTCAGCTATTTCCTACATGGGGTAAGGGAAGCATCTTAGTTACTACTGTGGGACTAGCATCTTGTTGGGCTAACAGAAAAGAACTGAGTTTGTGCTCTGTCTAGGTCTCTAGACATGACCTTTGTTTAATACGTGATGGGAAGCAAAAATAAAATGGTAAATGCTAATAAATGTTGATAAATGGTTTCAAGTAGCTTTGATCTAATAAAAATTAGAAAGCAGGTCAACATCAAAGATATCATCTCTTGCTGAGTATAATTTCCAAAGCAAAAACACTGGGAAAATGTGCTCAAAACATGTAGGTGCATTCCAGATTTTAAAGTTGGAGACTGGTGATGTGCACATAAAACTTGAAATATAAATAGCTATTTTGGGAGTGATTATTTTACTCTAATAGAGAGTTTCAAATTAATTTCCTTTTCCCCAAAAAAAGGAGCTTCAGCAAACCCTTGAGATTAGAAGGGAGCAATAGAAGCAACTTAGTCCAGTTCTCTAACCCAAGGAAGAATTGCTTATTCCTGATCAATCTTGATTTTCTACTGTATTTAAGTAATATATGGAGACTATACCTATGAAATACTTCACCTCCGTATGTCCCAAAAAAAGCATCTTTGAAATCTACTGACCTCTGCCCCTTTAAGTCAGAGCTAGGGTACAAGGCAGAAAAATCAATACACTGTAGCCTACAGTCAGCTCTACCTCCTTGGTCATCCAAGAATATCTGTCCCTTTTTAGAGTTCTGCACATATACAGAGAATGTTGCCTATGAACCTCTCTTATTCTTCACTCTGGCTAAAATGGGTCTGTTCACCATCTCCACCATTAATTCATCTTTTCTTCTTCCTTTTTCCGCAATTCTCAGTCTTTTTGTATTCCCTTCATACATAGCCCCTAATTATCTATCCCCATTCTATTTCCTCTGTTAATTTATTTTTACCTCACTGTGCTTTTGAAACAGGACCAGGCAGGCATTCGTGAGTTGGTGGGGTTCTGCCTCTTTCATCTTTTACATTCCTGACATAGCCAATTCTGTTTTGTTGTTGTTGTTGTTTTGTTTTTAATTGTTTGTTTGTTTGTTTTGAGATGTAGTCTCGCTCTGTCACCAGGCTGGAGTGTAGTGCCACTATCTCAGCTCACTGCAACCTCTGCCTCTGCCTCCTAGGTTCAAGTGATTCTCCTGCCTCAGCCTCCTGAGTAGCTGGGACTACAGGCATGCCCCACCACGCTGAGCTAATTTTTGTAATTTTAGTAGAGACAGGGTTTCACCATGTTGGCCAGGATGGTCTCCATCTCTTGACCTCGTGATCCGCCCACCTCGGCATCCCAAAGTGCTGGGATTACAGGCGTGAGCCACCATGCCCCACTGACACAATCAATTCTTTATGGGCACATGCAGAAGTACAGACAATTATTAAAAAAACAGATATTCCAATTTAAGGACTGCAGACATGGCTTTAAGTTATTTTACCTTTTTGGATATTTATTTTATTAATCCTATTAAGTTTAAGCTAAAATTCCAAAAAGTTTTCTATCAGACTAATTCACTATGAAGGTAGATGGTTTGGGAGTTCCCTAGGGTTCTCAACAAGTCAATTTTGATTTTAAATTCTTTCTTGAATGATTTTCTTATTCTCCCACTAATCCCAGCTCCTGTTACATGCTGCAATGTAAAACAGAGTTGACCAATCTTAGCTCTCATGGAAAACATTCTATATTGGGTCCCCAACACTCATTTCAACACCTAAGTTGGCTTCTTGTACTATTAAGTCAGAAAAACTAAAATCTACATTACATGGACATAAACTATATATATATACATATATATACATATATATGTATATATATATAAACGTATATGTATATATACGCATATATATATATATATATATATGCATCTGACATACAACAAGTGACTCAGGTTTGGTCAAGTGAAGAAATATTTATGATACCTGGAGATGGAAGAAAGCAATATGAGGCTGGAGCCATTATGGGAAGATTGAATATTCTGGAAAGAATTATGACTGAGGCATTTCATTCCTTTAGAGAATCTGGGAAAACTGTCACATGCATTCCCAAATGTCATAAGTATTGAGTGGTGGATATTGACCATACCAGTGTTGTTGCTAGAATACTCTCATGGTATGACTGGGCATTGACCTTGGCTAAGTTGTTCCTGTCTGTGTGGCATTTAAGCTTGGTTCTTTGTCTCTCCTAGAGATTTGCTGATTTATCTAATAATCTTTAATTAATCATTTTCTGTCTAAATTAAATAGAGTTCATTTTAGAGTGTCTATAATTAAAAACCTAACCTATGTAGCTTAAACATTTTACCCCAGCAATAGTGGCTAGAGTCATTTGAAAATATATCAGCGGAATGATTTAGAGCTCAAAAGGCTTCCTTGAACAGAAAGGACTAGAGACACCATAGACTAAATACAGAAAGGGCTTTTAAAATAAGCCCCTTTAAAATATTCCTTATTTGAAAATCCTTTATTATTTAAAAACTCCTTTCTGTATTTTGTCAATGGTGTCTCTAGTCTTAAGGACATCTGATCAGATCCTTTCCCAAATATTAAATAGGGGAAAGACCAAAATGTATACTATTTAGAGAGATACGGTAGTGAAGAAAGAGACTGTCTGGGACAACATAAATACCACCAAAGCAAATTTGAGAGATTGGGTTCTAGTCTTGGCTTTTCCACTTCCAAGCTATAGAAAATGAGCAGGTGTCTTCTCTCTGGGCCTTAGTTATCTTAAAATAAGGTCAGTAATTTCTAACTTTTTTTGGGTCATGTACTATAAAGAAGGTTATGGTAGCAATAGAACTTTTTTTAGTAAAATACATACACAGAGTTTCTCTTTCACACACATATGCACACACACACTCAAACATTTTTGTACAATTTGAGATTTTTTAAGCTTAAAATTACATTAAATATCATGGATACAGCCAATGTAGTCAATATTTTCTTTCCTTTTTTTATCACCCTTCCTCTCCTGCCTTTACTCAGATCTGAAAGTACCAGCATAAGCCTGTATCTAAAACAAGAAGTACTCACTTTAGCACCTACGGTGACTCTCAGAAGAAATATCAAGGCAATTAGAAAGATGTACATATCAGAGTTCATCTCTCAAAATAATTAACACTGAACTAACTCTGATTATGCCATATTTGGACAAGGTTTGTAACTCACTGGGCTTCAATTTCATCACCTGTAAAATGAGGAAGTTGGACAGATCAGCGGTTTGTAACCATTCGGGGGGTTACTATCTGATAAACCCTTATGCTGGGCCCTTCCTGCCAGGTTGCACTTCCTGATAGCAGAGAGTCTGAGGTGGCAATGTTCATTAGTCCAGTGATTCTTAACATGTTTTTGGTCCCAGACTCCTTTAAGAATCTGATTAAAACTATGAACTTTCTCTTAAGAAAAATGTGTGTAAGAGTGCAAACAAGATTTCATAAATGCTTTCAGGGATTCAAGGACCGTCTGAAGTCTATGCATGGCTCACCAGTAAAAATCTATGCCCAGTAAGATGTCTAAGAATCCTTTTACTTCCAATATTCCACAAGTCTCTAATGTGGTCAGCATGTTTGACTTAAGACAAAATTGTGTGGTAAATACTTTTCCATACTCTTCTCATTTCTCTTTAGTATTCCTTTCTTGTTAATTGTACTGAAATTGCCAGGGTCTCTACTGAGAGTGGATTTACCTGATAAAGTTACACTAACTCCTAATAAAATAAAACCTTAATGAGGAATTTGAGGCTACACATTTACCCTTCCCCACAGAGTTTACTTCTGCAAAAAGGGCACAGAAGGGGAATAGCCAAAAAGAACACACTTGAAATATTAGCTTTTCAAACCAGTGGCAGGTATGTGAGTGGGTTTTTGTGGGTTATAACACTTGCATTGAGTATTTTATTGTGTGTGATAGATGACCTTCCACTCTATCTATTCATAACAGTGTTTCTTTCTCTATAGGGCCTTGTCCACATGTGCATACAGGAATGCAGGCTGTATAAAGTGACTTTTGTGGGCCCCAGCTGAATCTCCTGTCACCAAGTTCTGCTTATTGCTAATTGTAAGGACTTAAAATCAATAAAAATAAAACCACTCCTGGCTTGGATTCTTGTCTTACTATGTAGATCCAAACAACACTCCTTTGCTCTATTCCCGAGTGTTACTTTTGATTGGAAAATCCAGTGTTCATTTGCACCTAAACTATAATTTTTAGTATAATGTATTCTGGACATTTTTCCAATAATAAATTAGGTTCCTTTCAGGCTGCATACTTGCCCTAACATACAATCACATCATTAATTTTTATTTTGGGCACTGTATTTTGAACCATTTATTCCTTCCTTTATCTTATGCATAAAAATAGAAATTAAATTAACAAGTTAAAATTTACTACATTTGTTTTGCAAACAGTCATGATCTTGAGTAAAGTAGCATTTTGCATTTGGACGCTGGAGCTTTTATCTGGTAAAGAAACCACTTTCCACTCATTCCCCTTCACTTTGTTCCTAGACTCAGTATATTTCTGCAAAATAAATTCTGTTTCCCACCATATTCTGTAATCAATTCAGAGACTATCCCCTAAGGGAAAACAAAACATACTGGTAGCAGATAGAACGGAAAACTCTGGCAAGGTAGGAGGGAGTTAACCAGGTGGTCGACCCTGTAACTGCTTGAAATTGGGGTACTGAGAAATATACGATCTCTCTAATGCTGCCATAACCCCATCATCCCAAGACGGGATTTTTCTCTTAGCCCTGTGAATTTGCTGAATCTATATTAATAAGTTCTTCCTTTATTTTCTGATTTTTAAAATAATAAAGATTAATAAAATTCAGTTGCAGTATTGTACTTTGCCAAAGGTATCACTATAACCTGAGAATCGGCAGTGAAGTTCTTCGGCTTGAAATCTCCTTAATTTCACAACTCCAAATCCATACTGAGCATTTTTTTTTTGACTATCAAAGTTGTGTAATTTGGGGAAAGTTACTTAACATCTCTGAGCCTGTTTTTTCAACTATAAAATTGAGTCAGAATTAAACCTAAAATATGGAGTTGTTTTGATGAATAAATAAAATAATGATTGTAAAACACATTCATATCAAACACAATGCCTGGCACATTGCCAACTCTCAGGTCATAAAATACCTTTGTCATTCATAAAAAAGTATTTTACTTAAACAAGGAATGAATATAATTAGTACTTTAACTCATAACTCCCACCCCAAAATAATTTGAATAACTGATTTTTAAAATGTTTTTTAATCCTTTAATTGTAGCACTCTTATATTTTATTGATGTTGATTAGTTAATTCTATGCAATTGCAAGGCCAGACATAAAGCACATTGCATATTATAGAATGCTAAATAAATTTTAGTCATGATTAAATCATAACTATTAAAAATATTAAAAATTCTTGGAATGGGAGGATCCCTTGTATTTAAAATTGTAGGCCTGATGGTATGAATGTTTAGAAAAACTACATTAATCATAATCTATACTGTACCATGTAATCTTTTATTTACAGTATAACAAAGAAGCCAACTTGAGACCTAGTAATTTTAGAATCACAAGGTAAACATTAAATAATAATGAAACATTCATTATAAAGGAAATTATCTCCTCAAACCAATATTAAGAGCTGAAACTTTTACTTTGCTTCCACTTTAATATATTTTATATTTTGGAGTTGCTCTATGGGGAAAGAATAAAAGAATTATTTGGGTCTCTATTCTTAATTTAAGAAGGCTTAACCTTTTTCTTTTTTCTTTTTCTTTTTCTAGATCTTTTAAGAAGATCTAAATGAGTCAAAATGTCTCCTTCATATATATATATACCCCTTGGTATCCTCATTTTCCTCCTGATTGCTTCCACCAAATAAGCTGCATATATATATATATATATATATATATATATTAAATGGACTCTTCCTATGCAGAGCCATGGCTCTTCATATGCAGAGCCATGGCTCTTCATATGCAGAGCCATGCATATACTTCATATGCAGAGCCATGAAGTATAGTTTTTGAGTCCATTTAATATTTGACCTTGCCTCTGCAACTAAAGGAAAACCCTCGCCACAGATAATGTAACTACAAATAAATCACCATTTCATAGATGCCATGAGACATTGGCCAGATGGAAAGTATTTTGGTAAAAACATTCTCTTAAGAGTCAAAAAACCCTGTTTCAGATCCCAACTTCATCATTAATTAACTGTGAGACTTGAACTGGGTTCCTTCTTTCTTACTTTCTTCATCTTTAAAATGAGAGCTTAGACTATAACATCACTCATATCCCCTTCAGCTCTGATATGCTATAATTGAACCAACTTGGAGTGAAAGTTCAGAAGTTCCTATAGGATTATTTCCTTTGGTTCTAGTCAGGCTCAAGCTTCTTGACTTAAATAGAAAAGATAAGAGCAGTATCACTCAGGGAATTTCACCACTGGGTGTTTTATTTCAAAACACATGCAATTTGGCTCCTGTGAGCTCTATCTGAGGCTGAAAATTCAAAAGATGTGTGTTCCACAAAAGGAGAAAGACATGCCTGCATCCAAAGCTTATTTGGTGGAAGCAATCAGGAGGAAAATGAAGATACCAAGAGGTGAGCCAGTAAAGCGTGGCAAGAGCTATGGGTTTAAATAAATACAAATAATATTTCTGTTCTTTGCTTACTAAAATCTTGTAGTTCTTAACAGGCCCAGCCCAAACCCTTCTTCTCCTGGAAGACTTGCCTGACTTCTATAATAAAACTGTACTCATTACTCTAGCTCTCTGAGATCCTTGACTTCTCTGAAATCTTACAGCACTAGATATGACTTTCTTAGGCCCTTATTATATTCATGTTGTCTTATATTTGGGGCAATTGCATTATACACATATATATATATATATATATATATATATATACATACATACATACATATATATATATAACCTGCTTAATTGGATTCTAAAGAGTTTCTGGGACATGGCATCCTTTCCTTTGCCATCAGCCCTCTGCCACTCTGTCCTTTATTCTCACCTCCCCAGTTGAATTTGTTCCACTGCTCTACACTTAAGAGTTATTCAATATATGTTTGCTGAATGGAGCTAAGGCTGTGTGAGGAAAGAGCACATCACAATAAACTCTAGACACACTAAGGCAAGTTGAAAAAATATTTCTGTAAACAAACAAACATAATATTACCCACATCATCTGCCAGACCCCGACACACAGAATCAGAAGACAATGCCAGGGCAATATATTTCTGCCTGTTGTAAACATGTCTGGCCCAATACACATTTAGATTAATTTACTCTTTGACTGGGCTCAGTGGCTCATGCTTGTAATCCCAGCACTTTGGGAAGCTGAGGCAGGTGGATCACTTGAGGCCAGGAGTTCAACACCAGCCTGGCCAACATGGTGAAAACCCATCTCTACTAAAAATACAAAAATTAGCCGGGAGTAGTGGCACATGCCTGTAATCCCAAGCTACTCAGATGGCTGAGGGATAAGAATTGCTTGAACCCAGGAGGCAGAGGTTGCAGTGAGCCAAGATCGGACCACTGCACCTCAGCCTGGGTGAAAGAGCAAGAATCTGTCAAAAACAAAACAAAACAAAACAAAACAAAACAAAACAAAACAAAACAAAACAAAACAAAAAAACCTTTTTCCCCTTATATTTTTCTCCAGTTGCTCAAGACAATTCTCACTAAAGCTAGCCTATGACAAAATTGTTATTTTGCTTTTGGCAGTTCAGTTTTCCCATAGTTGGATCTCTTCAGTTTTCCTTTATATCCTGTTCTCAACATGTACTCTTACCTTTACAGTTCTAAACTCATTCACATCAAGGTTTTCAAATAAGTATATTTCTAGGAGAATGAGAATTTTAAAATCAAGACTTCAGGAAGAAAGAAATTCTTGCCTCTAGAGGACTGGTGTTTCAGGCAAAGTGGAGGTGATATTTTGAGGTGGAGAGCCCTCCAGGTATTCCCTATAATATACCACAGAGGTATGTCCTGGCATGAGACTGTACCTGCAATAACATGTTTTTTCTTCCATGGCCTATGTGAAAAGTCCCTTTACTCTTATCTAGAGATATTACCCAAATCATAGGTATTACCTCCAGTTGCTTCCTGTTCATCTACCTTTAGGAGTGGGGAGGGGGGTGTTAGGTGCCTAATACAGTGTGGCACTGGTCTCAGGGGTCTGGAACTCTGGGACTCCTTTGAACACCATCTTCAAGAGCCTGTGGCAATGGGTCTGGGCTGCAGAAAACCAACCTCTTTTCATTGGATCCTACCTAACTACTGAGAAGAAATGGGGGTTTACCTGCACTTCTTGGTAACAGGGACCCTGAGGGTAATGGGAAGTGGGTGGACAGGAAGTGGAAGGTGGATTATAGCTCCAGATTCTTCTTAAGGAGTGGGGTATTTAATTCAATGTCAGAATTTCAGAAGTTTGTGTATTCAAGAATGCCCTAGGCAGAGATCATGCTCACCTTCACCTCTTCTATTGGCAGCTTTCTAGGGAACATTCTTGAGAATGTTCACTTTGATAACTGAATGCAAGTGAGAGGCTGTGAGAAAGGATCACCCTAAGATTGCGGTGGCCCACTATCTATGCAAGCAACTCGAGGGCTCCTAGCTGCAGCAAAGGACTCCATAGGCAAATAGGCTGTGTGTTATCATGAGCTCAAAGCTGAGTGCAACCACAGAAGACAATGCACTGTGGCCCTCGAAATAGAAAGGAGAATTTCTTTTCCTAAGTGTGAAGCTTTGCAGGCTCTACATGCAGCCTGTAGTGTAGCCCTGCATCATTAACGGGGGTGGGCGGGGGCGGAGAGAATGAAAGCAAAAGAGCATGCTGGCTGCCCCCTGGAAAACGGAAATGTTCAGTGTACACAGAGAGTGGCTTGCATATTTCACTCTGACATCTTACTACTATGCTTTTCAACATGATAGTGGTTAGATATTCCTGATAATTTTAATTTTTTTTCCTTTTGCTTTCATAATTTTTCTTTTGGCTTTCTTTTATTTTGTATTATTTTTACTTTTATTTATTTTCTTCCCTCCCTCCTTCTCTCCTGTATTCATTCCTTCCTTCCTTCCTTCTTCCTTCCTTCCCTCCTTCCTCTCCTTTCCTTTTCTTTCTTTCTTTTTCTTTCTTTCTTTCTCTTTCTTTCTTTTTCTTTCTTTCTTTCTCTCTCTCTCTCTTTCTTTCTTTCTTTCTTTCTTTCTTTCTTTCTTTCTTTCTTTCTTTCTTTCTTTCTTTTTTTTCTCCTTTTGCTAGTGAAGGAGAATTGGATTGGTTATTTTCAGAACAGGCAGCCTAAATTGATGCACAAATCAGTAGCATCCTTTTTGGAGTGGCCATCACATGAATTCTTTGGAGATCTCTGAAGAAAACAGAAAGAAACTGAAATGGTAGGTTCTAATTATTTATGCATAATTAGCTCTCGTCTGTGCGTTTTTCCCTTAGTATCTAGAACTGGACTCTTCACACAAGGAACTGTACAACTTGTCAAGTCTAAGCATGGTTATGGATATAATGAACTTGGACCATCCTTAAATGTCATTTCGTTGGTATTTGAACAAACAAAAATAATTGTATGACGGGCTGCCGGAGGAGGGAGGCAACTTTAAACTTGGGAAAATATAAGTTTGACATGGAGAGATTTTTAATAATGTGTTTAGCTCATTTGATATTGAGTAAAATAGTCCTGTGAACATTTGCAATTTAACCTGTTTTGTATTAAGTAGAGTTGCTTACATAAAGGTGCAGGATAATTTTTATCTACTCTTTGCTATAACTCTTTGGGGGTGCTATTTTTATCTGCTGCATAATTAAACTGGTTAACTTTGTGTCCTTTTCAAAATGAATGGTTATTTGAAAAATGAGAGATACAATATTTCAGGACCTTAGCTAATATAAATGCATGTTCCTATCAGCTTGTGTAAGTTACTTATTTTCACTGTAAAAGTTAATTATTGTAATTAATGATAGATATAAAGATTCTGTTTTCAAACACGTTTAAGAAAACTTGTTTATAATGAGAGAAAGAGGAAATAAGAAAGATAACAGGCACAGTTGCTCTGTTTTTCATAGATAAGCTCTATTTACGATAGTAAGTAATCAGCACATTAAAAAAATCAACAATGGTTAAAATGATTTTGAATTTAATTTACATTTCTAGATACTCAAAATTGACTTATTTTGACAAAATGTAAGTGAAATTATTTCCTTGTTTGCGTGTTGTCTCTGTTTTGTGCTCCAAGAGAAAATGTTTAGGACAGTGCCTTTTGACTTTAAACCATATGATGATACTATAAATGGTGTGTAACTGCTAGGAGCTGCATTCAGAGACTAAGAGAAAAAAGTCATGAATTCCTATGTGAGAGAGAGATAGAAATGAGGAGGGATGTGGTACAATATGACCCAGGATTAAATCTCAAATAACTTTGCTGCTCCTTTGTCTCCTGTCAACAGTAATGTACATGGACTTTATTTTATACTGCTCAAAACTTTTCATAAAAGAAAATGTTATAGTTTTATTCAATAAGCAGAACTATATGCTTTAGAGAGCTTTGGATCATTCAGCAAAGAGTATTTTGTTTTTCCTTTAGCTTCTGTAGATATCAGATATAAACACAAAAACATTAAACTTATAGAGAGGATTAAAGTTCTTCCACCCACGGCAAGATTATACCAGTCACACTGGCAAACATTTGGATATGCCAAGAAGTTTGTGTCCAAGAAGGATATACTTTTAATTACAGATAATGTGCTTTGCACTTGTGAACACATGTACTGCTTTGCTTTGTTATATGTTTGTAATAATATTTGTGTGAGACAGGAACCACCTAGTGTACTTATTTTGTTGGGGCCAGATTAATACGATGCTGAATAATGTAAAGATGAATAAACATAAAATGAGTCATAGACTGCTCCCAATATGTCACTGAATTTCACCTGAAGACCCCTAGGAATGAATGCACTTCATTATGCCCCTTTGTACTAGGTAACTGAAAGGAAGAGGACAAAGAAACACACCTTCTGCATTCCGCTCATAGATACTTTAGGCACCAATCAGCTACCCAGAACCAAAAAGGGAAGTAAACTCCTTTTCCTGATCTCCACCCAATCCTGATACAAGCAGGGCACAGACGGTGCCTCTTCCCTTGCCCATTAAAGTGACTCCCCACCCAAAACCTTCTTTTTATGCTATAGGTCTCAAGAATCAGTCTCTAGATCCCTAGTCAGAGAATAAGAAATTGTCAGAAACAGATTCAGCCCTTGTCACTTTCAGAGCAATGGCAAACATCTGAGACCTTTATGCTTTGGGAAGTAAAGTAGGTTCATAGTGCACATTGTGCAGTTGGAAAAAATGAGACTCGTAGAGGTGAAGTGACTGGGTCAAGTATCTCTGTCTGTCTGTGACAGAGACAAAGGTAGAATCCAGGTCTCTTCATACCTTGTCCAGTGCTGTGTTCATTTCTCCTTGCTGACTATCAGGGTTTGTGGATTAAGAGACATGCATTATTCATTGGGAAACATTAAAAGATTTCATTTTGAGAGCATTCAAGAATCTCTCAATAACAGGCACACTTCAGGTTTCTCCCAAAGGCCCTAATATTGTAACAGACCTTGAGTTGTTGGGCTTTACCACTGTTTCCTTCCAAGAATAGGAAAGAGTTTTTCCTACTGTGCTCATAGAAAAAAAAAAAAACCCAAAGTGCAAACTGATACTAGATGCTGTAATACAAGATTAACAAAGACCTGGCCATGTACTGGAAGTGTATGTGCTGTATTGAGTGTCAGAGCAACAATACAGCCAATTCATTAGACAAGAGAGAGTATGCAGGAGGTCCTGAGGTCTAGGAGATTCCAGATTTGAGAAAGCAGTGAAGATTTTAGGGTATCTTGTCTGACAGAAACAGACATATGCGGTTGATCAACTAAGGTGAGAGTGTGAGGAAGATAAATATATACAGTAAGTGATAGTATGTGAATCCTGAAAAGGAATACAGTAATTAGTGGCTTGAATATTACTAATGTTTGTCATATAACCGAGTGCTATCTGAGATCTGAAAATTAAAGTGGGTTCTTCTGGTATAGTCTTTGAAAGGTAAAGAGTGTGCTCCAGAGGCATCATTTTCCTTTGCAGCAACAGCTGCATTAGCAGCAGCCAGAGATCAAGATGCAGACAGAGCTCCTGACAAATAATCAGATATGCAAGATATTAGCCAAAATCAAGTCTGTATAGACTCTGCAACTTGGTTATGGGTCAAGAAGTTCACTACATTTAGTTATCTAGTGAGAAAACTAAAATTTAACCATTATCAGGTTCAGTTATGTGGGTCATGCGGAAGCATGACTTGTGCCCACCGTGGGAGCCAGGGTTGCCAATTCAGACTCAGTTGTGTCTTGGATAGCATAAATACTATCTCACTGGAAACCTAAAATATATGCAAATATCTCACCAAGTCAAAAGTGCCCATCAACTCCTTTCCTACTTCCTGACATAATATTTGTTTCTTCAAAAAGCTTTTACAAAATGTCACACTACTTAGGGCAGAAAATAAGGTTTTCTGTACATTCTCAGCAACGATGAAAGGCTTTAATATTGTTATTATTATTTAGCTAAAATTTTTTTCAGCTTTACTTGGCAGATGAGATTCAGTATTTCTTATAAGCTAATCACATGTTACCAGATATTTCTTATAAATCAATGACTCTTTTTTGAGACAGGGTCTCACCCTGTTACCTTGGCTGAAATGCAGTGGCATGATCACAGCTCACTGCAGACTTTATCCCCTCGGACTCAGATGACTCTCCTACCTCAGCCTCCCAAGGAGCTGGGACCATAGCCATGCACCACTATGCAAGGCTAATTTTTGTACTTTTTTTGTGGAGACAGGGTTTTGACTCGTCTGGAACTCCTGGCCTTGAGCAATCTCCCAACCTTGGCCTCCCAAAGTGCTGGGATTACTGGTGTGAGCCCCTGCACTTGGCCCCAATGACATATTTCTGTATGATAAAATAATTCTTACAACTTAAGTATAGGATGACAGTGATGAAATCCTTTACTGTTCAAAGTATTTAATCTATTTTAGGTAATACTGATGACCTATAAGTTACTTCTTTAAAACTAAAAGTGTGTTATTTTAGGTGTCTACTCTATTTGAAGTGTCAGGCCAAATGGTGTGCTGAAAAATGAATAACATGTAGAAGATAGACTGATTTATTATTTCTCACATATGTTTTTACAATTAAATATTATGAGCAAAATATATTATGAGATGAAAGAGCCCACAGAGTCTATTTTTTTAAATTTACATTTTATTTTAATCTATAGTTTCATGGCCCCTATTAATTTTCATACTGAAGGACTTACTCATTTAATTTTCTAAAGACATATTTCTTTGACTTTTTTCTCCACATCCTTATGACAATAGCATTCTGCTTCTGTATTCTTTGGTCCAGTTTTTATTGGGATCTGTTTTTATTTTTACCTTTTTTTCCCCTTTATTTTTATACCTTATAAATGTATCCGTTGACTTCTCTCTCTTCTAAGAAAGTTAGGGTTAAAGCTAGGTAGTACTGATTTTGTAATACTTCATAAAACTAACTCAATTTAACAAAGGAAAGTTCAGTGACTTGACCTAGCATTAGTCTCTCTGAGGAAGAACTACTGACCCTAGAAATAGAGTTTTGTATCAAAAGTCACAGTGCATATCAAGACATCTGGTACAGTAATACCTTTCTCTCTGAAATGCTATGACTTCTAAAAGTTTATTAGGGTTAAAAAGAGAATTCTACCTAGCTGAAGCAGAGTATGAATATAACAGACTAGACTGTAAAGTGGCTGGTCTAGATAATCCATCCAGATTACTTAGGGAAGGAAGATTTGTGACCCAAGTTATCCTGAGTGAGTGATCATATATTGGGTTTGGGGATACCCAGTTTTGCTCTGACATCTTGCTGAAAGGCTCTTTCGATCATGGAGACTAGATTAAACCTCCCTCAGTTTTTTTTTTTTTTTTTTGCCATGAAATTTGGTTAAGCAAACACTATGAGGACATTCTGTAACCTGCAGAGAGAAAAGGGCTGTTTTTCAGAATAGAGACTATAACCTGGATTATATTTGATGTATAATTACTTGTTAATGACTGATTTAGTTCTAAGTTACAGTTTTAAGAATTTTACATTAAGAAATATTATCTTTGTGTCTGTTTAGGTCTTTCCCAGGGGAACATTTACTCAGAAATTTTAAAACTAACTGATCTCTGGGAATCATTAAATTTGAAAATATCTGTGACATAGTCCAATAGAGAAAAATTATTAAAGTTGATCACCCCAGGTTATAAGTTATTCCTTGACTGGGACTTGGGCCAAACATGAATGGCCAGAGTAAAACTATAGGCTAAATCAATATCTGAAGAATATGGGCATGGTGGTTAATCAGGCTGGCCCCTGCTCAAATGCTGTGGAACCTCTGTTGTGTGGGCTTCTTGAATACAATACATAGAGATGCAATCTTCTCTTCATAATTTTCATTTAGTGACACTCCTGGACACTCATTGGAAAAATTTTGGACACACAATAGAAATGAAAATCAATAGTAAATCACCCAAATATAGACCCTCTAAAGACTGTATGATGTTGCTTTGAAAATTTTAAATTTAATCTATTTAACATTTGCATGCATTAACCCACTTGTCATATTGGGTCAAATAATATGAAATACTTCTAAGAAGTGGTGATCAGTTCTTTATATTTTTCTGCAAAATTTCAGCACATTAATTAAAAAGATAGAATTGATTTGGTTTCATATCTAAAAATTTGTTTTCAAAATAAAAAATTTAACTTCATATAACCCTTTCCTGAGTGAGGAATTATATTTAGATTGTAACAATTTATTTTAGAATGAAAATTAGGTTTGGTTTGCTCAGTCTCACTCGTAAGCATAATGACTTTATTTTCTTCATGGGGAATTCTGAGCCTTTGGCCTTTTCCTATTCCCACATCTCCGGGAGTTCAGTCTAGTTTCTTTAGCAAAGGGAAAATAATAGTTTTCTAATATGATTTCGGATTTTGGACGTACATTTAGGAGTTTCCAGAGCTTTCTCACAGTTCTGTACATGAGTTTCAAAGCAGGTCCAAAGTCTCACCATGAACTAAGGGTCAGCATCAGATTCAGACCATCCTTGATATGGATTTTTTTTCCCTGTAGAGCTTATACTCTATTCTAAATCAAGTATATTTTTAGTAATAACTCTAGAAAAAGCAGTAAAATATATAAGCAGCTACTCAGAATCTAAGATTCAGCAGGTTTTTTGAGCTTATCTACTACTGGCTCTTTTATTTTTAGTGTTCTATCATCAAAAGTAATATATATTTTTAAAATTGTACACTTAACGATATACTAAGGATTGGGCAAGATGCCTTACATCATTTTGACAACAACTACATTTGCTTTCTCCATTTTACAGATTAAGAAACTAATGTTCAAGAAATTACATAACTTGCCCAGTGATATACAACTGTTTTTTTCAACACCACTTTATTGAGGAAGGATTAGCATACAAAAAGATGTGTATATTTAATATATATAACTTGGTGAGTTTGGAGATAAATATATACCTGGGAAACCACCACCACAATCTATGCAATAAACATGTCTATCTTGGTTGAGTTTCAAACCCAGTTCTGTTGATTGTCAAAGCTCTTTCTTTATGTTATGCTGTCTCTATACGATGAAGCTATAACTCACTATCTTGTCCCTTTCCACTTGAGAATCAAGAGAGTTGGTAATAGAAGAAGTCAAGATGTACCCATTTCAAAACAGGCTGTCCTTTTATTGGATTTAGGCTAGGTGAAAAGGAAAAGGAGGCGGGGAATAGGGAATAAAATGAATAAAATTGAGAATTGTAAAAAGCAAAAATTAAATGTTTTATTTATCTTCAACCATTCTTTATGATGTGTTTACTGTTTCTACAAGATATAACCCCTGCCCTCTTAGAGCTTATTTACTTGAGGAGGATAAGCTAGCGCATATTAATTCTGATTATACAAAAGAGATTTAGGAAGAAGGTGTGTGACTTCATGGAACTTTTTGCCTTAAACAGAATCACCATGCATCTATACTTAAGCTGACATAATGTAAAAAGAAAATCATATTAAAATTTTTGCTTTATTCTACATAATCTAATTTATGGCATGCTAAGGTTTAAGAACAAAGGTTCTGAACTCCAGATATGAGCCTCTGTTAGAGATTAGAGCACAATGTGTGGTTTTAGATGCAAGTTAATATCAACAAAAGGAAAGGGCTCAAAAAATTGTACACAGAGGCTCTCCTAAACAGGTCTGCAACAATAGATTAATTTATGTGTTTACTTGTTTGCTGGCTTCCTAGTGCATTCTATACTGGCTATAAGGAATTCGAATTTGGGAGAATACATGGGATCCTTCATATGCAAATCAAGTTTACACATCAACCATCAGAAAACACGATAGAGCTATTTTTATATTTGTGAGTAAGCTTTTTCCTTAGGATCAAGGACTTGGAGTTCTTGTTTCAGAGCATACTCTGCAGCTACATTACAGAGAGAATTAACTGGAATCTAATCGCATACTTAAGTTCAGGAGCTCAGTGTGGTAACCATCTGATCCAGTGAGTTATCGAATCTTGAGTTAAAAGAACAAAAACACAATAACAAAGTTTTAGGCTTGTCTGTCTCCTGATAATCCTAATTATTTCCCACCACATTCTTTTGCTCTCTACACACTCACCTCCTCTGTCTGTGCTCCCTCTCCAAGAGGAAATAGAGGAAGAACCTTGGGACATCAGTTTCTAAACTCTCTTCTAAATTATGCTTTCAACAGGCACCAATCACAAGTTTGAACTCATGTTCCTTTGGGGCTGACTAGAAGTATAAACCTGAAGAAGGTACTAAGCTCCCTCATTTTTCAGTTTCTCTATCTGTGAAAATGGTATAATTGAGGACACTTCTCTCTTAAGGGTATGGATCACCATGCAGATACTGAACAGGTACTTTGTATTTCTTTTACCAGAGCTCCTCTGTACAATTTGCAAAATACCTTGTGCTACTGGATTGAAATCACACTGGGAACATTGAGTTGTACTTGCCTTTCACCTGACAAATTTCCCTTTGCACATGTCAGCATTATGCCTGGTTAAGCTTGCAGATTGAAGTGCTTATGAGGAGCAAAATAGTTCTAAGGCTTGCAGCTGAATAAATGAGAAAGAGAGGCATAACTTTTATGGATCAGTGAATCGCTGTTTTCAGAAATGCTGTATGGAATAGTCCAACCACTTTAAGGTCTGTTGTATGTTTCTACTCTAAATATATGGCAGCTTTCTACAAAGCTTAGCATTTGACCTGCCCAATTTAGCAACTGATTTTACACATCTCTCTTTTTTTCTGTTGTGTCACTTCTGCTAGATTTTCCAGGGCAGGGGCTATGTCTCATTTCTTCTTATCTTCTGTGATATCTAGCGTGATGATTTGATTTACAGCAAGGTATTGTTCATCTCATCACTCCATTCTTTTGTCCTAGCTTGATAGTTTAGCAAACTGGAGCAGCAGGAAATGGGCCAAAGAGTAAAAATAACATTCGTCTTATTTTAGTCACTTTCTTCCAGTCTTGAATGCCAGCAGAAATGAATGAACTCAATGTAAAGAGAATATCTGTGTTTCTATATGGGGTAGAGTAGAGTTAGAGAGAGAGATGGGGAACGGACAGGAATAGGTTGTGGTTTCTTCTGCATACAGTTAAGAATATTGGTTTCTATACCATTGTAGAAAAAAACAAAGGGACGCTTGTTTCTGGTGATTTGTACACTGGTATTTGATGTAAAAAATTGACAGTCTTTAACAACATAAAGCTTACATTTAGATAGTCTGACCATATGAAGGAAAGAGAAATAGCTACACACATAGTATAGAATGTGTAGTAAGGAGGAAGTGTGATGTGAGGAAATGAACAAAGGCCTTTTGAATTAAAACTTAGGTTCTAGTTCTGATTGTGCCATTAACTTGTTATATAACTCAGGATGAGTCTTACTTACTTTCTTTGGGCCTCAGTTACCTTGCTTGTAAAACAGCAGAGCATTCATAGAGATTAATACAAAATTAGTGAAGGTTTAATCAAGATTAATAAAGTCTAATTTTTATTTAAAATGCTGAATCAGTTCTTCCAGAAAATGAGAAAATATTATAAGCCTCATTAATCATTATCTACATCACCATTGAACTTATCAATGGATACGACATGCTACCCAAGGTGCTCATTAAATATGCGCTGACTGAGCTTGTTGAATTACTCCATACATAGGCTGTTGAAAAGGCTCCAGTGTATGATATGAGGAATTCAAGCTGACTATAACCTCTCCCCTATTCTCCTTTCATGCTACTGTGATCCTTTACGTCTAGATCTGCAATGGTACCCATGTTTTTACTTAAGAAAGGCTGCTAGGAAAATCCCTGCACACTCCCTGTGAATGTCCTGGATACTATCTTCTAGTTCTCTCTCATTAATGCATTAGCTTAAATCCACTTATCACATCGCAATAGTTTTAAGCATAAAAGTAGAAACACTCGCTATAAGGGATATTTTGATGGGGAGTAGTCTGTGAGAGGAACAAATCTGTGCCAACTAGAAAAGTCTGCTTAGGACTATGGGTCTTGGATTGGATATGGAGCCCAAGCAGTTAAACTTGTGGTGTGAGGATTCAGTCAGGCCTGAAGGATAATGCACTGGGAAGGAAGAACACAGGGATTCTTTGTATATTCCCCAATATTTATCAAGAATTGGGCCTATCTGTCTACTCAAACTTTCTACTAAACTTAGACTGTAAGAGCACAAAGTAACCTCAGGGATAATCTAGTAGCTCCCTCATTCCGCAGATGAAATACCGAGGTCAAGAGATAGAAGGGACATTCCCAAGGTCACACCACTAATTAGTGATAAGGCCAAGACTAAAAGGTAGGTGTCATATGTCTCTGATTAGTGCTATTTTCCATACACCCTGTTTCTCTCAGCTTAAATGACTTGTCTTGGGAGTTGAAAAAGCTTTCAAGTAAAGCAGAAGAGTTTTGAAGTATATGGCTATCCTGGAAAAAAAATAATGAAGTGACTCTCTAAAACAAAATCCATTCTTTGATATCTCACCTGACTCCTGTCCATAAAGTATAACAAATTAAATGATTAAAAATTAAACAGTGCCTAAGAATATTCACGATTTCAATAAAATCTGCTTCTAGCCAGCCACATTTGTCTAGTGTTTATGATTAATCTGTGACCCTGCTCAGTCACTAAACTCTGTCCCTGCAGACTGTTACTCTAGTTTGATCTCACATATCTGACACACTAAAGTGGTACTGTTCTGATTCTGTTTTCACAAACAACAAACTACCAGCAAGGAATATAACTTTGTCACTTTGTAACTTACTGCCTAGGTTTTCTTTCCTAGTCCCCATGATAAGCTGCTTTGGATTCTTGGGCCTCTAGACCTGCCTTTTGGTTACTCATCTTCTACTTGGTCTGTTTCTCCCACTTTGTTACCCTCTCTCAAGGACAAAAAATAATTTAAAAATAACTTTACTGTGTGTTTAATCCTGATCACTATTTTTTCCTCATCAGGTCTTTTTAAAAGGATTTATTAAGGAGTTTTAATGTGTCTAGTACTCTATTTACTAGGTGCTAGAGGAAAGAAGAAAAGGATATGTAGTATTTATTGAGCACTTGTTATGTGCCAAGCCCTGGCTTACTGGTTTTTACTTATGATATCTCATGTAATCTTAACAATGTTCCCCAGGAGTAGGCATTATTATTTTATTCATTTTACATGAGGAAGAAACAGAAAGAGAGAGAGAGAGAGAAACAAAACAACTGGTTCAAGATTACTCAACTGAAGCTGGCATTAGAACGCAAGTCTCTTTCAAAGGATTCCTTCAAAAGTTATCATTCTAAATAAAAATCATCGTGTTAAAAGGATTAGCTTGAAGCAAATTTGCGTAGGTGGAAAATATTTCATTGGATGCCTTCCCTCTGTCTTTCCTGCCTTATCCTTCCCTTTGCAGAATCCTTTGCTAACCCTTATGATCTGGCATCTCAGGTAATCCTACCATGTTACCCACCTAAGGCTGTCCCCCTCTATGTTCCTTTAATTCATTCTACCAAGTAAAATGTATTCTTTGTATTTCATTTCTTCCACTTTCTAAAGGAAAATCTAGCTTAGCTGATTGATTACAGTTAATAGGCTAATATGTAACCCCTTCTTGTAGTATTTTCACTTTATCAGTAGATTCCTGGACACATAGTTTCTTAAAGGATTGAATCCATAATGGGACATTTCTGGCAAGGTGACAAGCTTGGGCAAGTGATCATTAGGTAAAGCAGAGCAGAGGAAGCTGGGGTATGGTTTTTAGTGTCCCTAAATCACCATACATAAGAAACTATCTACAAGCATTTTAAGGGTACATGTAAGGCAGCTTTGTGTAGAAATTAATTTGTCTCCTAGCATGAGCTGTGCTGACAACCACTGGCCAGCTGGATCTCCCTCCATATGTATTTAATAATCAATGAAACAGTTATGGTCATGCCAACTATTTAGAAAAGATCACTAATTGAGAAAAAGACAACTTTTACCCTTCAACTGTATTGTGAGTTTAACAAGAGGCTGTGGGATTTTTCTAACATAGTTCACCATAGTTAAGGGCTCCTTGTGACCAGGGAGTGACACATGAACTTTTCCACCGACATTCCTACCTTCTCTCACTCTTTCCGAAAGCTGCCATGTCAAAAAGAGATGTCAGATGCTAAAGAGATTCTCACTCACTCTACTTCGCTACCACTAATGACTAAGTGTAACTCTCTATACTCTCCTTTTCCTGTGGTAATTGATTTTTGGGATCTCAGCATCCACTTGCTGAAATTTCCCAGCCATCTCTGAGCATCTTCTCCATGCTGCACCTGACCACTGCTTTTCTATGTTTTTCAAGGCATGAATGAATTAATCGTGCCAGATTCTCCAACACTTCCTCAGGAGACCCTATTGCTCTGATCAAGAAGTTCCATCAGCACCGAAGAAAACAGCAGGTAGTCAAATACAGTCTTGACTTCTATTTCTGCATCTTTCCTAAAAATAATACTGTTTTACCCTGTGGGCCCTGTACAGACAATTAGAGCGTTTGCTACCCACCTGTTGCACATTTGCTGGTCTACTTGATAGATTACCAAGCAATAGCCTGGTTTTAGCAATCAAGATATACAATCTTACAGAACACGAAAAGCTGTAGTTTCTGGAGTATTTGATAAAATGTGGCATTCTTTTCAATAGTGCTCTGCTGAGTCTTTTTTGCCTGAGACAGAGAAAAAAAATCAGTCATACTGATCCTGTCTTTATTTACTATCTTGACATTTTGTTTACTGTGAATATTTCCATTCATTTCAATTTCAAAAATACTGCATTGAAATACTATTTCTCTTCATTACTGAGTTGTTTTTCAACCCCTTAAATTTTGTGTCCAAGGAAAGTGCCTCACTCATCTAACACTAGTCCTGGTGCTGAATTTTATGGGCTGTTTGACCTACTTTTTAGCTTCAAAAGGGGATTTGGGAAACTAGGGTACACAGCCTTTATTCCCATTTTGAAAGCAAGTCTATGCACAGATTAAATAAATGCTTTCAATGTTAAACTTTTATGTAATATAATCTCATCCAGCACCCACCGGCCACTCTACATGCATACAATATTGTAATATGTGTGTATGTTGAGAAAGGTGATGCTGTTTGTGGAAAAGAAAAATTACAGTAGCCGTAGGTGAATCACTTGAATGCTTGGCAAATTTCTATTTATTGATTGGTAAGTATCAGGTTAGGGGCAGATTTGGAAGATGCAGATTCAGAGCAGCAAGTGTTTATTCTGTTTACTTTTTAGTTCTTTGTCTGGATGCCTGTTTTTAGAAGAAGTGTGTTGCCCAAGCACAAGCCTTGATATCTACTCATTGTAAAGGAACATGTCTAGTGCTTGAGCCTAGTTTGAAAAATCATGAACAAAATGACTGTACAGTTCACCTAAACATGGGGGAAAAAAACACCTCAACCATTGTAGCATTATGTTATACTTCGGACCAGGAGGTCAGAGTTCTACCAGCTAATAAAACTCCTGTAGCGCACATATCCCCTTCATGTGTAACCCAAGTATTTAATATTAGTTTGATGCAAAAGTAATTGTGGTTTTTGCAGTTAATATAGGGAATGGCAAAAACCACAATTACTTTTGCACCAAACTAATATATGGGTTTATTGGGTATCTGGAAGCCAAATTAAAGCCACCCCATTTGTTTTCTTTTCTTTTTTTTTTTGTTATACCTTTTAGGCCACCCCAGTCTTTCTTTCTAGTGAGACTTTCTCATAAAAGGGAAATGAACCTCTGTTCAAGACCACTTGAGCCCTTTCCCCTGACGTAATCAGGATGAGTACAGTTGAAAGCTCAATGAGACAGGGATAAAAAATTAGGCACCTGTCTGAACCATATTTTTTGTAACATTCATATGTTAGTGATTCATGTTAGGTAGGGTAGCCTACACAGACAGTGGCATATTTCTTTTTCTTTCTTTCTTTTTCTTTTTTTTTTTTTTGAGATGGAGTCTTGCTCTGTCGCCAGGCTGGAGTGCAGTGACGCAATCTCGGCTCACTGCAACCTCCACCTCCCGGGTTCAAACGATTCTCCTGCCTCAGCCTCCTGAGTAGCTGGGACTACAGGCATGTGCCACCACACCCGACTAATTTTTGTATTTTTAGTAAAGATGGGGTTTCACCATGTTGGCCAGGATGGTCTCGATCTCTTGACCTCGTGATCCACCTGCCTCAGCCTGCCCAAGTGCTGGGATTACAGGTGTGAGCCACCGCACCCAGCCGACAGTGGCATATTTCTATTGTCAAAAGTTAATGAGTAAAAAAAAAAAAAAACAGTTAAAAAGAATGAATAAGACCTACTATTTGATAGCACAGCAGGGTGACTATGGTCAATAACTTAATTGTACATTATAAAGTAATGTAAAGACTGCAACTAGATTGTTTGTAACTTGAAGGATAAATGCTCAAGGGAATGGAAACTCCATTCTCCATGATGTGCTTATTTCATACTGCATGCCTGTATCAAAATATCTCATGTATCCCACAAATATGTATGCTTACTATGTACCCAGAAAAATTTTAAAAGATTAAACATAGAAAAAAGTAACAATCTATTGGCTAAAATGAAGTACTATACCTCTGTTGGAGGTATTAACAGATGAGATTGCTGGTTCATCTTTGCAATCCTGTTATGATACAAAATTCAAATTAACTGGGGGAAATTCAAGTGCATTTTCATTTATAAATAGACATGAAAATTCCTAATCAAGGTATGATGTCTAGTTAGAGAGAGAGAGTAAAAGAGAGAGACCCAACCATTACTACTACCAAACAAAAAACAAAACAAACCAAAACAGCAAAACATTTATTCATAGATGTATAAAGATATTCATGAAAATTTATTAAATTATTTTTTCCTGGATACATTAGATAGCATTCAGCCCTTGGCCACAACGTTTGTGTATGCACACAGTTATCTTCCACTGCATAAAATGCTAAGAATTAGTTTATTTTATATATTTATATAGTACTTACTATAGAGCTTTATAAATATTAACTCATTAAATATTCATAGAGGTAGGTACTATTATCATCTCACTTAACAGAGGAGGCAACTGAGGCACAGAAATGTTTAAATAACCTGCCCAAAGCCTCACAGCTAAGAAGTGGCAGAGACAAGATTTGAATCCAGTAAGACTGGCTCTAGAGTCCATGTTCTTTTTGCCTACTATAAATCATGCCTTATTATTTATCAAAAATTTGGATATTATCTAATATTATATACCCATACATATGAATAAATGCATATGGCATGGAGAACCAAGGCTATTTAAAACTCAGAAGTAAAGTGACAAATTATTAGAGCTAAAATTCCCTCTAAAAGTTATCTGGTTTAACATGCTTATTTTAGAGAAGAAATGGGCACCCAGAGAAATTAAGTGACTCTCTCAGGATCACACAGGCATTCAATTGCAGAGGTAGAACAAGAATTCAAGACTTTTCACTCTCAGTCTATGACTAATTTAAGTAAAGAGCACAACTTATATTTTCAAATAAATGTCATCATTTTGAAAGTGACCTCACAAGGCTGTATGCTTATCTTAATGATGCTGTATTTCACCAAATATTCTCATACTCTTTGAAATTGTCTTTGGAATGGGTTTGAGCTGATCAAGAAAAATGAGTCTTTAAACAATGTCATCATATCATGCTTTTGAACAAAAAAAGGCCTTTTTTTTCTACTTGATCTCTAACTTCACTGTTCAGACTGGCTATGAATGGCTTTTGATTGTTTCCCAATAATTTATCTACCCTTAAAAATCAAAGATTTGTCACCCGTAAAATTATTCTAAAGAACATGATGCATGTTCTGAGTGTAATTCTAAAAGAGAATTCCAAAAATTGAAATACACATATAGACCTTCAAAGTGACAAGTTAGGACAGACAAACTCATTTGGATTCTTGCTTTTTAATAAATTTATTATTTAAATAAAATATCACTGTGGGGAATCCCATGTCCTAAAAGTTTCAACTCACTTATGAAATATAGAAAGTACTAAGTGTGTGTGGTGTGTAGGATGTGTTTCTTGGGTAACTTTTCTCAGATTTAGAGGTTCCAAATGAAGATTACTACTCATTGTCTCAGGCTAAAGAGATTTCATGAAGATGTATACCTTGGTGTGGTATATGGAATGTGATGATAGCATACCTACAGAGGTTTTCAGAGTTAAATAATTCAGGTAAATAGAGCAAGAAAATAGGCAAAACACAAGTTAAATCAGAATAATATTACGGAGAAGGTCAGACAAACTCAGTAGAAGTCTAAATAGAAGGCAGTGAAGAGAGAAGGGAAGAATTAAAGAATACTTCAGAGTTGAAACATTGAGCTATTGGTGGTATCAGTGATGTTCCTAATGTTAGGAAGGGCAGGGCAATAGGAGTGTCTCAGTTTTAGATAAATTTCCATTTAAGATTGCTAGCTATTTGTTTTAACCTTCCTTGATCCCATCTGGAAAAGCTTGTCTAAATTACAGATAAATAGATAGTTAAGTAGGTAAGTAGACTAGAGGCCTATCACAGAACAAATGATGAAAGTACATAACCACTTGATGGTCATTTTAAAATAAAAATAACCAGAAATTGCATATTTGTAATTAAACTGTTACTGATATAATTGCTGAAACAAACAATTGGCTTTCCAAACTGTCAGAGTTATGTTTCTAATCTCTTTGCACCTGACAAATACTTAGGTTGGTAGGTACACCGAAGGGGCATCTGAACTCAAGCTATTTGCCATGACGTAGAGGTAAACATCATTACCCTAACACTTGTTTAAATTTTACAAAGAAAACAGGCAAAAAATACATTGAACTTGATTTAAATCAATCTCAAGAATTGGCTAGTTGCTTAGTTTTCACTCTAATGAAATAAAATCGTAAAAAAAATTGCAAATAACATTTATTAACAATTCTTTTATTTATGGTCATAAGTTATGGTTTAGAAATACTTTCTCTGTTTAGATTTTCACACCATACATTTAAGGGAAGGAAGTTAGAAATAAATAAATAGCAAGCCAATGCTTAACTTACATATAAAGTCACCCTAGCCCAAATTAATTCCATAGGGCCACTGGTGTTCAGGAGTCTAGCCTTACTCTCTGAGTAAATAATGATGTAGGGGGTAAACAATTAGCCCATGGCACAAATAAAAGGGAACAAACCAGCAGGTAAATTTAATTTAAAAATATTACTTTTTCTCAACTGCAGTTTTGGAGGCCAGTGTCTGTTCAACATATTTTTGGGTACTTGCCAAGTCCTTTAGCTATGGTGGGCAGGGACTTGTCATTTCCTGCCATATGAAGGCAGCAGGCTATGATAGGGAAAATAAAAATAGCACTACATTGCCACAAAGAAGTGTGGTCTACTCCATTCTGGTGCGTGTGTGTGGAGAGGAGGTGATGCTTTTTCTTCAACTGACTTGCTTTCGTTTTTACTTTCTTTGATTGTAATCCAATGTGGCTGCATAAATGTATTTCCACAAGAGTTGAGATTTTTAAATGAGGCAATGACTGTGTTTTGAGTTGTGTACTCTGCCTTAGCTCATGGATTGCAGGTAAAGATGGTAATTTTCTAGTTGGATGATTTTTTTAAAGGTTAAATGGACATGAAGCTAGAGGGGTCATTGTTGCTGCAAAGGGGGTGGTTTATTTTGCTTGTTATTAAAGTTATTTCAGTTTGCTTCACAAACACTTAAGTGAACACATTGTGATTATTTGGGGGAAACCATGCAGGAAATCCTAATCAGTTCAATGGGCAGTGTTCAAAGCACCTATTTTTATCCATTGGCAGGTGACCAGTAAGGAAGAGCAAATTTCCCGGCAGATAGGCTTGAGGGGAGAGGAGAGACAAGGGTGTAAAGAAAAAAAATCTGAATGCATTTATCAGTTTAAAAAAAAGGTTTTAAAAAAAGTGTCTTTGAAAGTTTCAAATGTAAATGTTTTTCAGTGGCCAATATCAAATAAGTAAAACAATAGCTAAAAATTATTAAATATGCCTTTAGATTTTATAACTTGAATGGCCTTTAAATGCTCTACTGCAAAGATGATACAGAAATGGACAATTTAAAATAATGATTCTGTAAACATACAAGGACAGATGTAGTATCTGTTTAGCAGGTGTTTCTTATAGATTTACTAATGGACATTTAGTAAAAGTCTATTCTAATTGTTGCGAGGAATGCATAAATTAATAGGACAGTGTCCCTACTCTCAAAGAGATTAGAATCTAGTGGTTGTGTAGACAACTATCTATACCATCAAAGAGATTGAACCATATCAGGCTATGGCACAGGTACATGCAACATGCTATGGGAATTTAAAGGAAGAAGGGCCAATTCCAATGTAAATGATTCAAGGAAGATTTATGGGAAGAAATTAGATAATCAAAATTCTCCTATTAGGAATTTTCCCACCCATCAAGGTGAGAAAGAGTTGCTGGGAAGCTGGAAAATAAGGATGTTCAAGTTAAAGTCAGACAGAGACATCGAGGTACATGCTGTGTGCTAGAACAGTCTGGCATGGTGGAAGCCTAGGGCACTTGAAAGGGTGCAATAATAAATCAGGCTAGAAGGCAGAACAAGGCTTAGAATATTAGGTTTTTTAGGCCATTGCAGTGTGGACACTTGAAAGATTTTACACAACTTAATAAGATAATTCAACCTTTATCTGATAAAGGCAACTGCAGAAATATGTCAGTCTAAAATAAGAAAGTCTTTCTATTTAACGTATTAAAAAGGAAATAGGGCGATTGTCAAAATTTTATAAAAAGAGAAAATATGAATTTGTTTTTGCCTTCTGAAATACTGCTGAGTGTTACTGATATTATGCTGAAAAGGTCCAGAAAGTTTACTTTTGCCAGCAGGATATTTACTAGTCTATTAATTTTAGGTAGGAGACAGCACTATGTCCTTTGAGTTAACCCAGAATGGAAGTCCATAGTCTTTCTGCAAGAACATCTGGAAAGATCGGGAAGAAGGGATTTTTCTCAGTTTCCTAGATGATTTGTAACTCAAACTGTAGACTACAAGAAAAGAAGGGATAATATATTTCTGTTTTTAAGGCCAAAAAACAAAAGCAGACATTGACCTGCTAGTCCTCCTTCATTAGATCCCAATATCAAATTGTGTTACTTTTTATCCTATGAAATAAGGAGTCACCAAAAATGAGCCAAATATTGCAAATAATGTAAATTACTGAAAATGTATTTAGTAACAAAATATTATGCAGTGAACACAAATATGTAACATTCCATTCAAATATTGTCCATGCATTAAGCTCTAGGGCCTCACATGATCTCAGGCAAGACTTGGAATGAACTCCGCTGTCCTTTAGGGCACTTTATACATCTTGTACAGGAGAGCAAAATGTGTGGCTCTTTGTGAATCTAGTACCTAAAAGATTATTGTGGGAAGAACAGAGGGAGCCATATGAAATGGCCCTATATGAATGGTTTTCACCACTTTCTTCCAATCAATATATATGATGCCATCTGAGAAAAATGTGACAACAGTACTGATGAGGACCTACATTATTATTTGATGTTCGATATTTCATACTTGGGGCATCCTTATTATAGACTTAGAGTAGACTGAGCTCCAAATGAATATGTCATTACCTGGGTACCTGGATCATGGGTACAATAGATGTGCCACAAGCCTTTAAGGTTAATCTAGGAATCTCTCCCCGCCCCCACCACACCCCTATGCCTTCCTTTGGAGATAGTTCCAAGGCACCACCTACTACTCTAACATTTTACAATTATAGCTCTGTTCTCAAATGTAGTAGCTTACAAAAGAAAAAGACCATGTAGGAGATGCATTAGAAATTATGTGTCACTTTCTGCTTCCACCAAAACCAGGTGGCTTGTGCCAGACACAGAGTTGTCATCACTGGTGGAAGATTACTTAAAGAGTCCAGCCATCTTTATTTTTAATGACACTCCAGTGTCACTAACCGGAAGGATATTTCTGAGAGCCACAAGTTGCCAAAATGCTTGGTTTGTTTCTACTAATCAGGAGGGTTATGCTACTGGAAGGAGAAATATAGGCCCACAATACTGGTTCTTTGCATGTCGTTACTGCTCAATGACCATGGAGGCTTATTTTCTGAATTGAGGGATAAAATAAATTCTTCCAAAGTCTTGCCTAATTGATGATATCCACTGTAAAGGCATAGGAAAAATGGTAGAAAATTGAGAAATAAAGAACCAGAATCCTGTTTAGTAGGAGTAGCAGAGGCAACATGCTACGAAGATCCAGAAAATTAATACAAGTCTAGCAAAAGATAAAACTGTGCCACTAGGGGAGGCTTATTTTCAATTATCTGGAATAATAGTGATCAATGTTTTGCACCTCCCACCCATACCTCCCTCAAAACTTAATCTAAGGACAGAGTCTAGTGTCTGTCATTTAAAATGCAAGAATGAGACACCTGTATTTTAAATTAATTGTGTAGTTATTGAGACATAAAATGTTTCATGGGCATTTTTTTGTGTAATTACTGAAAGCTCCATGTGCGCTTTTTAGAGTAATTACTGAGAGGCCAACAATTCGTTTTTGTTACTTGTATTTTAATATTTAAATTTTTAAATTTTAAATCATTTTCATTAGGATTCTTTCTCAAAGTTTCTGAAAACCCTAATGTCTGCTTAGAGGCTTCCGTATTTTTGTTGTTGTTGCTATTTAAAATGAAATGCTATAGATTTTGGACAATGTATTGTGAAGAAAATGGCTCCCAAATATAAGTAAAGCACGGGTAAACGTGGAGGAATACAACGAAGCACTAAGACAAAAAAAAAAAAAAAAAGCTGATATAGTAACTGAGCTTAAAGGCCAAGGATGCAAAAGCTTTGGGATCTACTGGGATGTATTGTATATGCTCCAGAAATTCTCAGTTTGTGTGAAGTACTGACATTTCCAGGGAAAGCTTGCCAAGTTTAAGTTCCTGGGCCCCATCTTTAAAGGTGTGAGTCTGGCATTTGCAGCCTAAACTCTATAGGACAAAAGGCTTATCCTCAAGAAAAAAGGAAATTAGGCCCAAACCAAGTGGGAAAGAATATTTACCTTCCTTCTTCTTAAAATAAGGATTTTCGGTCCCTTAAAATCACACCATATAGAGTAGCCACCTATACCAACAATTCCGGCCAGAACCTGGAGTGAGGCCTTGATAACTGGTTTTATTTTCCATTCCATGCTTGGTCTTTCTACCAGACCCCATAAGGTTGGTTTACTCCTCCCTTTTCACAGGCTATTAATCGTGTGGAGTAGTGGATAGGGCACACTCTCTAGGAGAAAACTGCAAGAAGACTGCAAAAAAGTGAAAGGGGCCAGAAGGGTCTGATTATCTTGGACCTTAGTTTATTTTATGTAAGCTTGGAAGCCCATAACTTTCCTTTAAAAAATCCTATTTCTTGTCCAAATGTTCATGTTTTCTCTGAGACACAAGGTGAACATTCAGAAAAGCTGGAGGAAAATCCCCACAGCCCTGTCAGCACCGAGAACAGGAAACATACAGCTTTCCCACTGTAACATACTAACTTGTGATCTTCTCATCACTTCTACTAAGTGGAAATATTTGAAATTTAATGTGTAAAATGGAACTTTGTAAAATTGTGACTTGTCTCTTAAGAGTTGGAGTACACACACCTAGAGTGCTAAAAACAGAAGACACTGATAGCCAGCCAGATATTTGGCTACATGTAATCCTAAACTGTCTGCTCAGTGTTTTATAGTATCCATCAAAAGTGATTTAATATTTTCACTAGTCTTTTAACCATGTATAGATAAACAAGGTGTGCAAACCACTATGAATCACAAGTTAAACAGTAGTCAACAAAATGGAGCTGTATAAAATTGTTTGCAAAAGACCATAGTATATATAAACTTAAAGGGATCTTTTTTTTCTTTTCTTTTTTCTTTTTTTTTTTTTTTTTTTTTTTTTTGAGACGCGTCTCACTCTGTCGCCAGGCTGGAGTGCAGTGGCTCGATCTCGGCTCATTGAAATCTCTGCCTCCCGGGTTCAAGCGATTCTCCTGCCTCAGTGTCCCAAGTAGCTGGGATTACAGGCGTGTGCCACCACACCCAGCTAACTTTTGTATTTTTAGTAGAGATGGGGTTTCACTATGTTGGCCAGGATGGTCTCAATCCTGACCCCGTGATCCGCCAGACTTGGCCTCCTAAAGTGCTGGGATTACAGGTGTGAGCCACTGCGCCCGGCCTAAAGGGTTCTTCTTACTACACTAGACTCTGGTTTAGATCTAAACTTACACCTAAGCTTAGTTGAATCTAACTGAGTTTCGTCTACATGCAAAGTAACTGTGCACTTTGGAGGTGGAAGATTATAATGGTCATGAAAACACTGTCTTTGCTGGCAAGCTGCTCACAATTTTCTGGAATGAATAAGAAAGGGACATATTTCTGACACAAATAAACTGCTTTGGGAGTTCACAGGTAGGTATAATCACAACTAGGCAAGAGATCACAAAAACCTCATGAAGAAGGCAGCATTTTAAGATAGTGGCCTTGGAGGACAGGCAGGATTTCAACAGGTAAAGATGGGATAGAACAATTTAAGCAGAGAGAAAGTCAAAAACACAGGCAATGAAGATAGGAAAACACAGTGAATTCCTGCAAAAACTTCAGTTTGGTTATGTAGCTTAACAAAATAACTGAATTGGTTTTGATATTGCCCTTTATCACTCAGTGAAGATTCTCAGATTTTAAGGCTCTCCAATTTGGTTATCTGTGATGCTTGTTAAAATGTAGATCCTTTGGCTCCACTCTTTGACAAATAAGATTCAGTTGTCCATCTGGGAATACACATTTTTAATAAGCACTCCAATTAGCCCTGGCGCCAAATTTTGAGAAACCCTGCCTAAGTAAAAGGAGAAGAATAAAAATAGACCCTGAGAGGTAAAAGCAGTGTAAGAATATGCAGCCTAACTTTTTTTTTTTTTCCAGTGGGTGGTAGGGGCAGGGAAGCGAATAGTAGCTAAAGGTCTTGTTAATTTCAGTACAGGTTGAATAGCCCGTGAGGTCCTCAATACCAATTGGTTTGCCCTATTCTCCACAATATGGAATGATCACAAATTAAGAAATCTGAGAAAAGGCAATATGACTGGTGATGTGAGACTGAGTGACAACCTTCCTGCTGTCTCCAAGTAATTAAAAGAGCACTTCTCAGAGCAGAGACACAGAATGCAGTCTGATTAAGAGGAAATTGCTTTCAGATCTCAGTAGAGAAATTTAGACTTAGCTAAGTAAAATAACTTCCTGGCAAAAAGGCAATGTTCACAATAACTGCATTGTCTGTCTACACATATGTGTTTCCTCTCTTCATGAAATTGACCTTTGAGGGAACTCATAGAAGATGTTGAAGCTAAGATAAATTGGGAGCCTGGTTCAAAGTGACATCCAGGAGCGCCTCTCTTTAAAATTTATTTATTTAAAAAAAGTGATAGAATACTCAGTAGGGCAAAACTGGTGAATTTCCTAGGGGAACTAACCAGGCAAATACTTTTCAAAGCATTTTATTACTTTGAAGATTTTCAAAAGTAAAAATGAAGCCCTGAGATTTGCCTGTGTGCTGATCAGAATTAGGAAGAAATTGTTCTTTTCTCTTCTGTCCAGAACTTGGGATTGCTCATGTGTCATAATGGTACAATTGCCTTTGATATACGTGCACACAGCTGTTCAGTTTAACAACATTTGCAGTCACTTGCAGCACACTAGGTCTGCTTTTTCTGGGCTTAATAAAGTGTGCACCTAACCAGAACTGTAATATAAAGTTGAATTTTGAGCAAGTGGTTGCTTATTACCTGTGATGGGATGGTTTCTGGACAGGGCTTCACACCCCAGATGGCATCTCTACTTGCAATTAGTGTCTCAAAGACCACCATTAGAAATTAGGCAATTTAAGCTGGGCACAATCCCAACACTTTGGGATGCTGAGACAGGAGCATCTTTTAAAGCCAGGAGGTGGAGAGCAATTTGGGCAACAAAGCAAGACCCCAATCTCTACAAATTTTTTTTTTTGATTAGCTGTCACAGTAGTATGCACCTGTTGTCCCAGCTACTTGGGAGGCTGAGGTGAGAGGATCGCTTGAGCCCAAGAGTTCCAGGCTGCAGTGAGTTAGGATCGTGTATCTGCACTCCAACCCAGGAGATAAGACAGAGCTGTCTTGTCTCTTAAGACTGTCTCTTAAGAACAACACCAAAAAAAGGAATTAAGTAATTTGATAATCTAGTATTTTTAATCTTTCATTTTATTTAGTTAAAACCCAGGTGCACATTTTGAAGGGAGAAAGTTTTAAGGTGCTATCAACTACCATCTTCATAGATAATGAAGCTTGCATATAGTAGGTCTCAGCAAAATGATACAGAAAGCCATTTCTAATATTCCTTTGAATGAGACTTCACCTGGACAAGCAACCAGAGACCTAATATTGCTGGAAAATACTTTTGAAACATAAGTACAACTAAGTAAAGCTTCAGATTTGGATGAACATATTCATATTCATAAATAAAAAACAATAACTTCCCATAAGAACTCCATATGAAATAGTTTCTCACTTACATATGGCTGAAAAATTAGCATGCTGAATTCAGGCAATCAATTCCCTTTCTCTCTACTTTTTTCCTCGTACCAAGAAAGTAAGTACAATTGAGGAAATACAGTATGCTGAGGAAAAAAAAAATCTGCCCAAGGAGCTTGGCATTTCCTTCCAATAAGTGTCTCATTTAAAATTGGAGTCTGTTTCAGTCCCAGTTAAAATATGGATTTTTTCTTGTGAAAGGACAATCTCAAAGAAAAGTGGTATTATTTACAGTTGTGCTTCACTGTTTTTTATAACACTATCTTTCTATGTCTTCCTTACCTGAGAAATCTCGGGTATTTAATCTCTTCAATCCAAAGGCATATTATGAATCACTCATCAAGCCTTTTAAGTAAAGTGAGTATCATATCTTTGAATAAAACGTGCTGTTTCACTTACCATGAAATTGAAGTAAAATAATAATAATTTGTTCAGGGGCTCAATGACGCACACTTCAAACCACATGGATTTGATCATTCAAAGCAGGATGTTTCATAATTCCCATTTCATTTTTGTTCTTCCCACACATATCTTTAAAGTTAGTTAAGTCCTCCTAGATTTCAGCAGCCTTGAGGCAACTATCCAGGCCCCTAAGCTAAAATTTACTTACCTCAGAATAAAGGTCATAGACCCAGCTGAGTCAACTTTCTATGGATTTTGATTCTCTGCTCTGGTGCTACATCTGTTGTCTCAGGTAACTAAGAGGTGACTAAATGACTCCTGTAAATGGGATTATTTAAAGAGAAGCTGGTTGTCCATTTATTTTTAGACATATAGGAATGATTTGGATCAAATGATGGTTCAAGGACAAATGCTGGGCTGGCTATTTCAAAACCAAATGGAGAGCTTTGAAAAGATACAAATTGCATACTGTACCCCATGAATACTCAATCAGAATCTCTGGAGGAAACACCCAGAAGCTTGTATTTTAATTTTTAACCTTCCCCAGATGATTCAGACAATCAGTAATGTTAGTGAAGCAGTAGTCCAAATCATAGCTTCTCAAATGTTAATACGCAGAAGAATCACCTGAGTTCATTGTTAAAACGCAGATCTTGATGCATCAGGTCCAGGGTGACGCCTGAGATTTTGAATTTGTAACAAGCTCCCAAGCGTCATTCGTTCATGAATTTTGAGTAACAAGGGGCTAGATTACTTCTCATGTTCTTTCAAGCTATGTTTTTCTGTGATTATAAAGTGCCTTGTAGAAACTGCAGCATATACCCTTCCCTTACTTAAGAATTTTTTCATTCAAACTAGAATATTTTTCTGAACACAGGCTTTTTTTTTTTTTTCAAAGCTGGGCCAGGAAATAATTGACTTATTTTCTTTTGCTTGCAGCTCTGCCTTTGTTTCCTACTTTTTAGCTTTTGACCTATAGCTGAAAAAGTCCCAGAAAGCTGATCTTTCCAAGTTAATCATCCCTGAAGAGTGGCGGACTCATTGTGCACTAAAGCAATCCTTTCTTCTATGTGAGCCAAAAAAAGAAAAACGGCCTGCCAGACACCTGTAAAGAGAAGGCTATCGTCATATAGGAATTTGAGGAACTGCTATATGGTACATTCCTTTTCCAAATGGGAGAGAATAAGCTCTCATGATGTCCCAGAGGGCCTTAAAATAAACAAGAGGGGAAATTGTAACAGCTTGTCATCTGTGCTTGTACACTAGACTTCCATGTAGTTACTCTAGAGAAATCTAAATCAAAAATGCAGATCATTCTTTGAAAAATCCCCAAATCATACGTAGAGACTCAGACAGATGTGGTAAAAAGAGGAAGGTTATTTTATACTTCGTATCTCCAACCCACTGGCAATCAATCTTTTGGAAGGAACAGCAGTTGATTGTGAATTTAGTTTTGAACCACCATTAGGCAAAGATAGTTTCTCTAGAGAGAATCATGCCTGCTAATTACACGTGTACCAGGCCAGATGGAGACAATACAGATTTTCGATACTTTATTTATGCAGTGACATACACTGTCATTCTTGTGCCAGGTCTCATAGGGAATATATTAGCCCTGTGGGTATTCTATGGTTATATGAAAGAAACAAAACGAGCTGTGATATTTATGATAAACTTAGCCATTGCTGACTTACTACAAGTTCTTTCCTTGCCACTGAGGATCTTCTACTACTTGAATCATGACTGGCCATTTGGGCCTGGTCTCTGCATGTTCTGTTTCTACCTGAAGTATGTCAACATGTATGCAAGCATCTACTTCTTGGTCTGCATCAGTGTGCGACGATTTTGGTTTCTCATGTACCCCTTTCGCTTCCATGACTGCAAACAGAAATATGACCTGTACATCAGCATTGCTGGCTGGCTGATCATCTGCCTTGCCTGTGTACTCTTTCCACTCCTCAGAACCAGTGATGATACCTCTGGCAATAGGACCAAATGCTTTGTGGATCTTCCTACCAGGAATGTCAACCTGGCCCAGTCCGTTGTTATGATGACCATTGGCGAGTTGATTGGGTTTGTAACTCCGCTTCTGATTGTCCTATATTGTACCTGGAAGACGGTTTTATCACTGCAAGATAAATATCCCATGGCCCAAGATCTTGGAGAGAAACAGAAAGCCTTGAAGATGATTCTAACCTGTGCAGGGGTATTCCTAATTTGCTTTGCACCTTATCATTTCAGTTTTCCTTTAGATTTCCTGGTGAAGTCCAATGAAATTAAAAGCTGCCTAGCCAGAAGGGTGATTCTAATATTTCATTCTGTGGCATTGTGTCTTGCTAGTCTGAATTCATGTCTTGACCCAGTCATATACTACTTTTCCACTAATGAGTTCCGAAGACGGCTTTCAAGACAAGATTTGCATGACAGCATCCAACTCCATGCAAAATCCTTTGTGAGTAACCATACAGCTTCCACCATGACACCTGAATTATGCTAAAACAAAAAACCAAACTGAATGTGACCTGAAATGCAAGTACATCAGAACATATCTGCAATACCCAAGCCACAGGGAAGAACTTGCAAAACAACACAGCTTTTCAGTTCTGCTCTATCTTACTGCTATGGGGAATTCACTTCTTCAAAGCAGGACCTATTTGGAGCATTACGATCCACGATTATTGATGTTGACATGTCCATGTAGTAATTTTTCTTCAAGTCTGTAAATCTTAAAATATCAAATTTCTGTGACATCCTATAAACATATGCACTCAACTGTAGTCAGTACTTTTACCTGTGAACCTCAGGCACAAAAAGATTATTAGCTTGGAGTCACCATAAACATTTAGTTTTGTTGCAACAGATACTGAGTCTTTATGTTCAGAGGAAATGTAAGTGTCTTTTTATATTAGTAATCACAGTTTACATGCCATTTTCATATGTTTGGTTATATTTTAGTGGGATAGATGATATATTACCCTGTGTAAAGAAAATGTAAACATAAGATCATTTTTATCTCTCAAGTGTGATTACTCTTCAGAGTTTGAAGATTAAAATAGCTATTTTCTTCATTTTTGTGTCAACATGAAACATCATTTGTCACACCTGTTCACAGAATGAAAATCTGAACTCAGGCCTCTGGCATATTTAAACTAAGAACAATATACATATTTACATACGACAACCCTCTGTGACTGGAAAAGATGCCGTGTTGCATCTACCTAGGACAGGTAGTTTGTCAAAGTCCATACAAGGTGACTCAATTGGGCTCTAGGCCTAGGAGAAAGCAGAAAGGTGACAATCACAATTCTGCTCTCTTACACTTTTTCTAAAGAACACTTCTGGAGATGTATGGACCCGCCTAGTAGAGGAAGTTTTTATCATGTTTCTAGAGATACATTGAGGTAATGTTGACAGGTTCCTGCACTTTCTGAGCCTGTGGAAGAAGTAGTGCACTAATGAATCATTAAACCTGGGCCAGAGTGAAAAGATGAAGCAAAGTTGGGTAATCTTTTTAAAATTCTCATCACATTGTATTTCTTACTCTAATACAAGGACACTTACTTAGCTTAGACTGCCAAGTTACTTACACAAGCCAGAGTAAGTCTCTCTGCCCCATCATTGCATACATATTACAGTCAGTCACATGGACCCTAGAATCCACATTGATTTTTTTTGGTCTAGCTTTGCCCCAGACATACCATTCTAAAGCCTACAAAGCCTAGCTCTTAGCAGCTGGGGAAGGCAATTATTTCACCTCTTGAAAAATGCATAGAAGATTAATTTGGTCAGCCTTTGGCAACCAATGGCCAATGACTTGCCTACTACCTGTTTGGTACTATTGTGTGGGAAACAGACCCAGGATATTAGTCGTAATTAAACCTTAGGTTGTAAGTATTAGAATATTTTGAAACATGTTTTAGCAAAAAGCTCTAACTTTAAGAAAGTTCTACTTAAAATCTGTGTGCTATATAATGAAGATACCTTCTACGTCTCACAGAAGGAATGTAGAACCCAATCAAAGGCTTTATCATATTTAGAGGAAAGGGGTTGTTTTAGGCATACAGTTATGATACTAATACATTAGGGGAAAACTGGTGACATCAAAATGAATTCTAATATCTAGACTGATGGAAAGTTTTCTAAAGTTTTCTTTGGACAAGTGTTGATTTTACACATATGTTGTTATTAAGATAATACCCTATTAGAAAACTGACTTTGTGCTGCTAGCAAGTGTATCTATGTGTCTCCTAACTAATCATTGTAAGGTATATGTTTTGATGTGTTAAATAAGTTTTCAATAAGTGTTAAACTGTATTTTAAATAGGGCATCTATAACTGTGTCTTGTCTCTTTGCTTTAAAGTGTCTTTTGTTTGACTATAATTTAGTGTTGCAATAGGATTGCAAGTAATAATTTTGTGGAATTGTGAAATAACTGTGGGTACTTTTAATGTGAGAGTCTTATCTATAGTATTTGTGCTTAGTATTTTCTAGATTAGCATGAATTACACTTCCTAAGGTCACTTTGGAAGATGATTGATTTGATTTAATTAACATATTGATTTCACTTTGACTATATTTTTCTTAAAGAGGAAGGGAAATATTTTCAGGAGATGTTTGACCTTCTTAGATGAATGGTTGAGGGTAGGGCCCATTTGTTAGGCAGCCCATTTACATCATTCCAAAAAAGGACCAGTATTCAGTGTTATGCTGCTTAGCTGAGGACACCCTTTTTCCCCAGGCCTGCCCATCTACGTTTGTATTCAGTGCTCTGATTTACTTTATTCACCCCTTATCCCATCAATATGTTTTGTCTTCTGCTTGATTCCCTTGCTCTCCCAGGCAGCAACCTGATCAATTCATTCACACCATGGTGCTAATAGCTAATGTTAGGTTCATATTAATTTACCCAGGAATATCTGAATTCCAGGCTTTAGGACTAGGCATTAAACCAAAGTGGTGACTTTCAATGGAGGGCTAATACATACTGAAGCAGACAGACTGGAGGGAAAGAAATTTTGGATAAAGTGGGTCCCACAGCACTGCCTTTCATATTGCATACAGTAAGCAAACACCTACTTTGGTTACCATAATGGGAATGCTGACTTTTAAGAAATTAAGAAATGTATCCATGAACATGGCTATCAGTTTCTCAGATGTCTGCTCACCTTCTTTTCATTTTGCCTCTCTCCTTTCCTACGTTGGGCCTGATTTTCAGGGGAAAGTCTAAACTAGTAGCTTACTAATTTAGGAGTACTGGTGCAGCTACGATCCAGACAGCAGCCTGTTCTCTGAGCTTCTCCATTCCATGGCTTATCCAGACTTCTCATTTATCACTCTCTGGGTTCTATGAAATTGTGGTGCAAAGAGTAAACACCCTCAACCATAGTAATGTATACTTCAAGATAAATAATTCCACATTTCCTATATAAAGTTGTTGAATTTTGATTCAAAAATGCGTAAGTATTCCAATAAGAAAAACTTTGTATGTAGTGATTTCTATGTAAAAATATTGTTATTATTATTATATTCAAATGGTTTATATGTTTTCATTGTCACTCAGTTAAGCAGCCAATTCTGTTAGCTGGTAATTCCACAAAGAGAAGCCATCTGCCCCAGGAGCAACAGACCAAGCTGCCTTGGTCTGAGAGGGTGCATCTGTGGAACTCTTGCGCAACTTACATTTTATGTCACCTTTTGATTTTACTCCCAAGATACTGTGAAAATGTTGCACTTGGAATTTATTTATGGCTATAACTTATAATATTCATTTTAATAATAAAGATTGTCTTTGTAATTACATAGAAATTTTCTGCCTCCAGAAGTCAATGTGTACTTAGTCACTTCTTTCAACACACCGATAGACTTGATGATCTTTTTTAGTGTTCTCACATGCATGGATAAAAGTCCCCTAAGACTCTATTCTCACTTTTTCTCTCTTTGAGAGGTGCAGTCTATTCTCGAAAGGAAAGACAAACCACACCCCCAAATTTACCCCACTCTTGCCACTCACTCTGTCCATAGATAGACGTTTTACTATTCATATTCTGCTAAAAATTATTCCCCATCTTCACTGTGGACCAAGTTTATTAGAACTACTTAAAGCTCTATATTTGTAATGATGGAACAGAGAGAATCTTTTCTTCTTAGTCTTAAGGGTTGTTAAGATGTGGCAGTCTGATTTTTTCTCTGGATTGTCAGGGGAAAATAAAAACTCATCTTCTACTGTCCCCCTCTGCTCTTCTCAAAACAGATCCACTTAAATAAAAAAAAAAAGGGTGAAGTCAGGAAAATTGTCTCTGACCCTTTCCTCAGCCTGGCTCTCTTTCTTCTATTTCAGTAACTCCCTCATCATCTTACCTATATCCCTAGCACTTTCAGGACCCCAAATATCTTCTATAATAACCAAATTTTTAGGAATTATACATTTTGGCTGTTGCAAAAATATTTTCCTAGGAAGTGGTGAAGGGTTTCCCAAGGAAGAATTTTTGATGCTTTGGTAAACCTAAATAAAATAATGGGATATAGATACCAGACATGCCCTATGCTTCAAATGCCCTCGCGTTTTATAGAGACCTGTTCTGTGCCCTCCTAAAGTCCGTCCAGAAACAACTTCACTGTCTTTACCACCATATTTTGATGGAGTGGTGGAGGTAAGGGAGGAGGGAGTGAGAGATAAACTCTCAAGCAAATGTGGCTATTTTCACTTGCTTATTTCTTGGTTATTAAAGGATGTGGTATGGGGAGGGGGAGAGCAAATTGTAATTTTACTGAACTTCACAGACCATTTCCTCTTCTTCAGAACTTATTCAGCCTTAACCACTACTTGATTTTGCCAAATAACTCAAGTAATAGAAATATGCCAATACTCTATTTTTTCTATTGTTTGGGGAATAATTATCTTCATCCTACTTCTTACTGCAATGCATATCTTCAGATTCAGCTACAGGCATAGCCCTATTCAAAGCCTTCCATTTGCCTTCTTGTATCTCTTCAAAGAATAATAGAACAACTGCTCCACAGGGAAGGCTGTCATTAGGCCTGCCCTTCTGACTCCAGCATTTACTTTTATTGCAGGAGCTCTTGAAGTTTGATTCTGGCCCATAATAGTGAGATTTTTCGGACTTTTCTAAACAATGTTGAGTATCTACAACTTGTAAGAAGACTTGTAGCATTCCTAATAAGAGGACAAAAATAAACAAAAAGAGTTTGAAGAAATGATGGTTCAAGTTATGGTATTGGCGTAGAAGCATAGAGGAAGTAGTCATACTATAAATTACCCACATTGTCTTTGCATAAAGTAAAACCCATAATAACAGCTTAAAAATGTTCTGAAATCACATTACTGCCCTCTGTCATTAAACGAGTTTAACTTTTTTACTAAAATATATATAAGGAGATAATACTATGAAAAAAGTAATTCGGTAAACTTTTTACTATGAAAAACATCAAACATATTCAAAAGAAGAGCAATAAATAAAATGAACACCCATTATTGAAATTCAAACAATATCAACACATGGCCCAGTCTTTTTTCTTCTATGTCTGCATCCAATCTCCTGCTCCAGATTATATTAAAGTGCATTTCCCTTACATAATTTAATCTATGAATACTGTAGTAAATCACAGTACCATTTAAATGAACTGTTTAATGTATGATCAAAAGGTGCCGAGGAATAAAAACTGATTTTAGATGTATTCAGTAAAGACATCAAACGCTAAATCCCAAAAAGTAGAAGAATTTCTCTTTGATTAATCTGAACAAGTTTAAACTCAGAAAACAACATTTACTAACCTGAGTCTGTTTTTCTTTAGGTAAGTGTTTCTTCTGCTGCAGAAATGTAATGAAGACTAATGTTGAATTCAGTTCAGGGTCTCCTTGGTCCAAATTATGGCTCCCATGAGAAGGAGTCCAGTACACTCAGCTCCACTGAATATAAAAATACCAATGTTAACAGATTACATTTCCATATTGTAGTCAAAATGGTCCACTAAACAATACTCATAAAGTAGTATTAGAATGCATCTATGTAAATGTACACTCTGCAATATTTCTGAAGCTTATGCCATAGTTATCTGTACTCTGTGAACACTGCTCATACATAGGTGGGTAGACTTCTGTAAAGTTTCCCTCAAGCATTACACATTTTCTGCCTTTCAATTTCTTCTGACAAGAATAGATTAGTTAGGCTATGGGTTCAACTGTGGTTAACAGAAATGTAGCTTAAACTACAAACAAATGTATTTCTCTTTTATGGAAAAGTTCTAGCATGGTAGCTTTTGTTTGCGAGATGTTTTAGACCTAGATTTCTGTATTGTAACACCAATATTTCTTGGGTATTCCTTTAATCTGAATGGTGCAAGGTATCGTTTAAAAAATTAATTGGGGGATCACATCAAGTTAAAATACTTCTGCACAGCAAAGAATATAATCATCAAAGTGAAGAGACAACATGCAGAATGAGAGAAAATATTTGCAAACTACCCATTTGACAAGGGATTAATAACCATAATATATAAGGAGCTCAAACAACTTTATAGGAAAAAATCTAATAATCTGATTCAAAAATGGGCAAAAATTTTGAATAGACATTTCTCAAAAGAAGACATATAAGTGACAAACAGTCATATGAAAAGGTCCTCAACATCATTGATCGTCAGAGAAATGTAAATCAAAACTATGATGAGATATTATCTCACCCCAGTTAAAATGAGTTTTTTTCTTAAAGACTAGCAATAACAAATGCTAGCAAGGATGTGGAGAAAAGGGAACCTCATACACTGTTGGTGGGAATGTACATAGTGGTGTTAGCACAACCACTATGGAGAAGAGTTTGGAGGTTCCTCAAAAAAGCAAAAATTGAGCTACCATAAAATCCAGCAATCCCACTGCTGGGTATATACCCGAAAGAAAGGACATCAATTTATCAAATAGATATCTGCACTCCTATGTTTGTTGCATCACTGTTTACAAATAGCTAAGATTTGGAAACAACCTAAGTGTCCATCTACAGATGGATGGATAATGAAAATGTGGTACATAAACACAATGGAGTAATATTCAGCATAAAAAGAATGTGATTCTGTCATTTGCAACAACATAGATGGAACTGGAGATAATTATAGTTAGTGAAATAAGCCAGGCACAGAAAGACAAACATCATATATTCTCACTTATTTGTGGGATCTAAAAATCAAAACAATTGAGTACATAGACATTGAGAGTAGAAGAATGATTATCAGAGGCAGGGAAGTGTGATGGGGGTGGTGTTGGGGAGGTGGGGATGGTTAATGGGTACAAAAAAAAAGTAGAATGAATAAGACCTACCATTTGATTGCACAACAGGATGACTATAGTCAAAAATAACTTAATTGTACATTTTAAAATTACTTAAATAGTGTAATTGGATTGTTTGTAACTCAAAGGATAAATGCTCAGGGGGATGGAAACCGCATTCTCCATGATGTGCTTATTTCACATACCATGCCTGTATCAAAATATCTCATGTACCACATAAAAATACACACCTACTGTGTACTTACAAACATATATATATATATTTTGAGATGGAGTCTTGCTCTGTCACCAGGCTGGAGTGCAGTGGCACGATCTCAGCTCACTGCAACCTGTGTCTCCTGGGTTCAAGCGATTCTCCTGCCTCAGCCTCCTGAGTAGCTGGAACTACAGGTGTGGGCCACCACGCCCAGCTAATTTTTGCATTTCTAGTAGAGATGGGATTTCACCATGTTGGCCAGGATGGTCTCGACCTCTTGACCCGTGATCCACCCACCTCAACCTCCCAAAGTGCTGGGATTACAGGCATGAGCCACTACGTCTGGCCACCTACAAATATTTTTGAAATTAAAATAAATAAATAAATGGGAGGTCCTTATGCAGAAATGGCTCTAGTGTCTTGGGCTTCTACATAAGCAAAGTGAAGCCCAATGTAACAGCAAAATGAAGCTTAAACTTAACCAATCAGAAACTGCCAAAACCCTTTAACTAGGGACTTTCAACCCAAATAAAGCAAATTCCTATCTGTAGCCAATCAAGTGATTTCTTTACTTTGCTTCCACATTCAAACTATAAAAGCCTGCTACTCACACTACTAAAGCAAAGCTCACTAAACCTCTTCTGTTTCTGAGTGCTGCCCAATTCACAAATTGCTCTTTGCTCAAACTCTGATAAATTTAATTTGTGTAAAGTTTTCTTTTAATCATATCTTATCACACTTATATTGTAGCTAGTATGACTGAGAAATGGGGAAAAGGAGGCATGCCTCTTCCCTTTAAGTGGATGACTAGAAATTGTGAATATTCTTTCTGTTTGCAAACCACTGGCTAAAAATCAGCTATGTAGCCCTGCCAAGCTGCAAGGGAGGTTAGAAATTATAGTCATTATTCAGGTGGCCATATGCTATTTGATATTACTTTATTATGGACGAAATGAAAAATAAATATGGGGACACAGTGTGTCCCTATCATTCTAGGGATATCAAAGGCACCAGCAATGTCATCTGCCCTAAAGATGCCATCTAAACTTCAAAACCCAGTAGACCTTTGTATGTTCATTCCATTTTTTAAAACCACCACTTTCCCTAATAAAACCACATCTTTTCTTCCCCGTTGGGGTTATCCAAACCCTCCAATATCACCTATACCTACAGCAAAAAAAGCAGTAGCCTCTAGAAAATGTGATAATAGTGGTGCCCTGGCAGTGTATGAACAAGGTTTAATATCAGCAAGCTGGGAAATCAAAGAGGAGGATATGTGGAATGACTATTTATCAGTGTCTCACCAATGTTTTCTTTGCTCTGTTCCTAGAGAGGAAGCAACACTCCCTTTCTAACCTCCCATGTATGAATCAACTCAGATATATAGCATAGCATTGCCCCCAAACTTAATTACTCAAAGGAATTAAAATCACTTCAAAAGTGTTTTGCAGTAACTGTTCCCTCTGCCTAGAATGTTCTTCCAATAGCTGTCTTGTATCTTCCTTCAGTTTTAAAAGTCCTTCAGTTCTCAAAGTGGCACCCTAGCTAAAGAGTTCCCCACCCCAGAGACACAAGTTTATTTCTAATATGTTACCTTGAATTTTTCCCTCATGACTCCTAATTTGTAATTATTTTTAAAATTTGTTTCTTGTATGTCTGCCCCACTTGAATATTTGATTTGTTCATTTTGTGTCTGCAATGCCTAGCTCACTACCTGCAACACAGTAAATACGCAAAAAATGTATGTTGAATGCATACATATATAATAAATCTAAATAAGTAGAAATCTGTTATCCAGCACTCTTCATATGGAATGCTATATCAATTGATAGTTTATGGTTCATAGCATACAATAACAGTTCAGATTCATGGTGTTAACCCAAGGTCTTACAAAATTTTCAGGTACCATCCAATCCATATCTAAGAGGAAATATGTTCAACTTTTTTGTGTCATATGTACCTCCTTGTGTTTGTGTGGTATAATATAGAATATGTCTGGTCTTTTCTCAGAGTTCTCTGCATAGAATTAAAAAAATCATTTGAATTTCCTGAGTGGTAACAGTGTATTTGTTATGCTAAAGAAGTAACTGAAGGGAAAGAGGGCAGCTAGATAGCTTCCGGATGGGGGCTAGTCACCAGAAAGTCCAACCATGTGATTAGCGAGTTTGTCCAACCTCCTGGGAGAGGAGATAGGCTGGAGATTGAGTTCAATCACATGTCCAGTCATTTAATCAGTCATGCCTACATAACAAAACCCAGATGAAATCTTGGACATCAAGGCTCAGAGGAGCTTCCTGGTTGATGAACATATTAATATACCAGGAGGTTGGCACACCATGTCTCCACTGAGACAGAAGCTCCTGCACTAAGGATCCTTCCAGACCTTGCCCTATATAGCTGTTCACTTTCATCATTTATAATAAAATGGTAATCACAGAGTAGCACTTTCAAGAGTTCTGTGAGTAATTTTAGTGAATTATTTAACCCAAGGAGGTTACAGAAAGCCCCAAATTTGTAGGCCACCAAGGAGAAGTGTAATTGGCTTAGGCACATCTGAAACTTGCAGCTGGCATCTGAGGTGGTAGTGGTCTTGTGAAGGACTTGCCCCTGTGGGCTCTGCATTACTTCTGGGTAGTTAGTGTCAGAATTCAACTGAATTACAGGGCACACAGTTGGCGTCAGAGAACTGGTGTCGCAGCAGGTGAATCTCAATATTACTATATATTTGACTCTCAATTAAATAGGACTTAAGACTAGCAAGACCATTCCCATTTATCTGTCTGTTAAAGCCAGCAGAGAGGTTGTTATAAATAAACTTCTGTATTCTTTCTTAGGTAAATAGTCTTTCTAACACAGGGAGCAAAAATTAAGAGAGTTAATTTATTTGATCATTGCCATTGCCAGTAGAATACTGAAGTCTGTGGATGAAACAAATATGATGAAACTGGTAGTTTAACCAGTAACTAGTAGTCTAACTAAATTCTACCAGTTGATTCAGTGCTGTCTAAGAAACAAAATTTGATTTTCTTTGCAATAGGCACAGCTCTGGATGAAAATGCTCGTCTTTCAAAAGAGAATCATACTTGACTTTTGTGTACCTTAAAAACGTATTATCCCCTCAATGAAAATGAGTCATTTGTCTTGGTTTTAAGCTGTTGCATGTGTTTGTATTTTAAAACTGTCTAAGCATGGTTTCATTAAAGCCCATGCCTGAGCCAAAATTGCATTCTGGGGAATCAGCTTAGGAAAATCGTCATGATTTACCTGCCAAAATTATACAGAAACCCAAACAGAAAGAGAGAATTGGCTTTCTCAAAGGTATTGCCCAGGAGAGAAATTTATTACTTCCTTACCAATCCATCCAGCCTGGTTATTGTTCCAATGGGACCTAGCCAAAAGCATGTAAAAATCATTATTAAAAAATCCAGTCAATGCTGGACTTAAGGTAGAAATTAAATAAGTCTAGTTTTTTCTTTACCAACTATAATTCTAACCCCTTATTTCTGAGTGAGTACAAAATATTTCAGTTTTTCTCCTATTACCAACCGTATTACAGGGTTTGAGGACTGAACCTGACCTGGTATGGACAGGGAAATTCTCACCACTGACTCTGCCACTGCCCAGGTCAGCTTCTGAGTTGAACATGGTGATCATGTGCTAACAAATCATCTAATGAGATAGTTAACCCCAAATCAGTAGCTTGTATGTAATAGCTCTGAAAAGATAATTTGAATTTTACTTAGCAGTATGATCAGGTAGTTCACACTTAAAGAGTGGTTTGGAAAAGCAATATAGTCAGAATAGGATGAGACTGAGGCTTAATTAAGCCCTTTTCAGTTTCCTTGTCTGCTGGTTAACCTCATCACAACCTGTGTCACTGGCTGTGTTTCAGATTTTCAGTTAGAGAGACCTCTGGGAATGACTAAGCTGATTCCTCTAAAATGGGTATGTGAAAAAGATGGGGGCAGAAATGTGTGTTTGGGAGACTAGTGAGAGAGTGAGGAACATTAAAACTGCTAGAGAAATACAAATATTTAGAAAAGGAATACCTAGTAATATAATGTACCTAATGTATGTATTTGCAGAGCTGTATTTTTTTCTCTTTCTGGCTGTGAAAATGCAGTCATGTGCGATATAACAAAGTTTTGATTAATGATTTACCACATATGCAATAGTGGTACCACAAGATTATAATATTCTTACTTTATCTTTCTAAGTTTAAATATGTTTAGATACACAAATACTTACTATTGTGTTACAATTGCCCACAATATTCAGTATTGTCAGTCATGTGCTGTACAGATTTATAGCCTAGGATCAATAGGCGATACCATATAACCTAGATGTGTAGTAGACTATACCCTCTAGGTTTGTGTAAGTATACTCTATGATGTTCTCACAAAGATGAAATTTCCAAAGGATGCATTTCTCAGAATGTATCACTATTGTTAAGTGACACTTAAATATAAAACAAAGCAATAGACTTCATCTTTATGATAAACTACACTATGTTCTATCTTCAACATTAACTATGATAGAAAAAGTTGTTGATGTCCACTCTTCCTACTAGTTAATTACTCAAATAGTTAAATATTAAATATGTACCAGGTAACATGCTTTGTGTTAGGCAACAGGATGTGAAGATAATAACTACAGAGCTTGCTTAATAAGGCTGTCTCTGTTTCTTTACATTGCATTTACTTCTCAGCACATGTTAATCTGGCCTTTCTGTCACAGTTTCATGTATTTTTCATTCATCCATAAACAAATATTTTTGAGCATCAGTTAATGGCAAGTACTAGTTAGGTACTGGGAGCTTACCATGTAGATTACACAGGGTCAAACTTAACCATACAGTCAACCTTCTGTATCTGTGGTTTCTGCATCCTTGGTTTCAACCAACCATGCGCTGAACATATTTGAGGAAAAAAGCAATAAAAAATAACAATATAACCAAAAAAATTAAGGCAAATAATAATACAGTACAACTATTTACATAGTACTTACCTTATAATAGGTACTGCAAGTATATAGAGATGATTTAAAATATATGGAAAAATGTGTGTGGTTATAGGAAATACTATGCCATTTTATATAAGGCACTTAAGTATTCTTGGTTTTTGGCACTGGGGGGAGGTCCTGGAACTAATTGTCCGTGGATACCAAGAGAAGACTATATTTATATTTATATATGCATTTATATTTTAAGGTAAAAACAAATTTTATTCTAAAATTACTATTACATTTATTCATTTCTAGTCATGATATTTGTTCTTTTTTCTTTTTTTTTTTGAGACAGAGTCTCACTCTGTTGCCCAGGCTGGAGTGCAGTGGCGTGATCTCGGCTTACTGCAACCTCGGCCTCCCAGGTTCAAGCAATTCTCCTGTCTCAGCCACCTGAGTAGCTGGGATTGGAGGCACCCACCACCATGCCCGGCTAATTTTTGTATTTTTAGTAGAGACGGGGTTTCACCGTTTTGGTCAGGCTGGTCTCGAACTCCTGACCTCAGGTGATCCACCCACCTCGGCCTTCCAAAGTGCTGGGATTACAGGCATGCTCCATTGCACCCAGCCTAATCTATTTTTAAACTATAAATAACATTAAAGAGGGATGTGAGACAGTTTTCATCTGTTTATTAAAGAGGTTACATAAGGGTTAAAATGAAGTTAAGAAAGATGTTATTAAAGTAGGCCTTGAGTCTATTATCCTGAGGGTAAGTTGTCGTAGGAGTTTTACCCCTTTCTATCTCTTCGTTCAAGCTGGAGTCTAGTGTAACAGAGATTTGCACCAGTTATCTGGATCGTTGTAGTAAAAAACTGGCTTATCTGAGCAAATGAGGTGATACTACTTTAAAAGAAAAACAAAATACTCTTATTCACAGGAATTCAAACTGAAATTTAAAAAAATTTTAAACTATCATGTATAATTTGTATATATTTGATATGATACTTTTGACTTGGGCCCAATATACTAATCTTTCTGAATTGCTATTATCACAATTAACAGCTTTACTGTTTATGCTTAGAAAAACCCACAGACTGTCTTCAGGGCCTCAGTTTATTTATATGTTAGCTCAAATTACAGAATTATAATTTCTAAGGACCATTCTAGTATTCAAGGTTTGTGGTCTTATGAAATTATCGGATCACCTGTATAATCAGAAATGTTACTGAAGGTTTTCTATATGCTGTGACGTGTGGGAGTAAAGATATTCCTGTTCTCTGTCTTCACTGCTTGCGGAAACCAAGGAGTTACTCCAGATGACAAAATACCAGTAGAAAGTTAAACAGTGCTGTTAAAGCTCACAAGGCAGGCATTTCAGAGTTTAGTGTTTTGTGTCATCATTGCCACCTGAAGATGTAATGCATACCTGCCCCCTTACAGTTTATGGAAAGGAAATGCAAAAAACTACTGTGTTTGTCTCTGATTTCCTTCTGAAGTAAGGATTCTCGAATCCTTAGAATATATTCAGGCAAATTAGAGATCAGTCTTGCAAAAGTAACCCCAGACTTCGATTTCACAGTACAAAAAACGTTTCATAAAGAAAAAGTAGGAGGGGTTGACAGAAGGTTGTGTTTTGCCAAGTATGCTAAAGCAAATTACCGACCAAGTACATTGACTATCACCATTATTTTATTTTAAAAAGAACATTTTAATCTCTCAAACTTTCCCGAAGAAAGAGTCTAAACTCAGAATAAAAAAAAAGTTGTTTAAATAGAATATATTTAGCCTTGCAGAAATACTCACTACATTGTTTATATTTTTCCCATTCATATGAAACTTTTTGTGTGTGGATTGGCATTTGGGAACCACTGTTCCACAGATCTTAAATAAATGATTCAAATTCAGACCTAAAAGGGAGTAGTGATGGGACTCATGATTGACTACTAGCTCTTGAAAGTTATCATGAGCCCTCAAGCCTGGGCTGAGTGCCCCAAAGAAATTTGTCTCCAAGGAGACTTGGCCACAAATTGAAAATAACATACTGTATAGACAAAAGAGCAATTAATCCTATCTCAGGCATTTACTAACACTGCCTTTAAAACCTTCATCCACTAAATGAAAATTGTTACTACAACTCTCTAGGTTAAGCTTACTGTGCCTTTGTGAATACTAGGACTTGCCCTTCAATCCTCACCTTCTTGTAAGTCACTTTCTCTTTAGGACCATTGTGGGGTAGATGGCATCAATTCGGTGAGATTCCTGGCATATAAACAGTAGTCCTCTTTCCCTTGAGAAGTAGAAAATTTCACACTAATTTAAAGTATTACACTCTCAGCTCCTTTACCAGTGGAAATTCTCTTTTCCTTCTTCCCTTCCTTCCTTCCTTCCCTCCTTCCCTCCTTCCTTCCTTCCTTTTACTTCTTTCCTGACTTCGTTCCTTCTTTCCTGCCTTCCTTCCTTCTGTCCTTTCCTCCTTCCTTCTTGTATTTTTCTTTTATTCTGCACTCCCCTCACCACACACACACACCTGATCCCAGCCAGTGATAGGAGAAGGAATTATTTGCAGTCAGGTGACTGTCTGAGCAGGAACAGAGAGAATTTGCATATATAGAGAGAATAACTTAAGACCTATCAAAACTATTAAGACTATTGACTCTGTTTTCAGATAAAACACTAATAAATACTCATCTAAATATGAGATAGACTTTTTTGGCCTAGCTAAATCATCAAAAATATTTTCCCTGTCTAAATATCTCACAAAAACCTTCCAATGGGTCTCGTTGTCCTGGGAAATTAATTGGAAGTATTGTCTTCCAAGATACTCCAACTTTTGGCTCCCTAAAACTTAACATTGCTCTTAACTCAAACTCTGTCTTTAGTTGTCACATGCATATTTTTTAAAAGTTTCTTTTTTTTTTTTTTTCGGGAGAGAGACATCAAAAGGACTGGGTTTTCAATAAGTCTTTATATCTCACTTATCCAGGATAGGGTTGATGGGAGAAAGGTCTAATAAATAATTTTTCATTGTAACCTGTGCTTTCCTTTTCTGCTTTCCCAGATGTCCATTGCCATTTTGTAACCCTGGCCCTGCTATATGCCCTGTTGTGCTTTCTCATTATCTCAGTGCCAGATCTCTCAGGTTTATTTAATTTGATGAAGTAGTCCATGCTAATGATATGAATTTGTTAACAATGCTAACAGGTAGCAAAACAGGGATGGTACTCTAAAGAAAATAGGTGGTTGATGGGAAATTTCTGAAACTGTGGAATGACAGTGGGTGAAATTGATTCATATGATTTTAGAGGTAAAAGAATCCTAAGGTTGTCTGGTAGAGTATTTGTCAAAGTGTGGCCTGTAACCTACCAGGTTCATAATGCTCTGGGGCTACTTGTTTAAAATTTATTTCAAAGATTGCCCTTCCCCAAATCATGATCCCTTGAGTAGGGCCAAGGAATTGGTATGTTAGCAAGTACTCTGAATTATTCTTATGCAAATTTTAAGTTTGGTTTTATCAAACTTCTTTATTTTACAATTAAAAACCTAAGTCTCACAGAGGAAAAAGTATTTACCAAAGTACAGAGTTAGCTAGTGGTAGACTCCGGTTTGGAACCCAAGTTGTATACTCATAACAACTGACCATTAATTCTCAATGAAGTACCTACCTAGCATAGTGACTGGCATAAAATAGCATTTTGGTAAATATTTGACAAATGAATGTTTCAAAATTCTTATACCTATTTTTTTTATAAAATATGTATAACTTTCATCTTATTGTTTTAACTATACTAAAGTGTACAATTCAATGGCATGATGTACATTAATATTGTTGTGCAACCTTACCACTATACAGGTTCAGAACTTTTTATCATCCCAAACTGAAACTTTGTATCCATTAAACAATATTTCTCCATACCCTCCTTACTTCAGCCACTGGTAATCATAATTCTATTTTCTGTGTCAATGAATTTCTCCATTTAGGTACCTCATATAAGTGGAATCACACAATATTTATCCTCTTGTGTTTGGCTTAGCACAATATTTTCAAAATTCATCCGTATGGTAACATGTATCAGAATTTCATTCCTTTTTAAGGCTGAATAATATTCCATTGCATGTATATACCATAATTTGTTTATTTCTTCATCTCTCAGTGGACATTTGGGGCATTTCCATATTTTGGCTACTGTGAGTAATGCTGCTATGAACATTGAGAAATAAATATTTGTTTGAGTCACTGTTTTAATTATTTTGGGTACATACTCAGAAATGGACTTGAAGGATTATACAATAATTCCATTTTTAATTTTCTGAGGAAGCACAGTACAGTTTTTTTTTAATGACTGTACCATTTACATTTTTCACCAGCAATGCACTAGCATGCCAAATTCTCCACAACTTTTCCAACTGTTGTTATTTTCCAATTTTTTTTCATACTCCCCATCCTAATGGGTGTGAAGGGACATCTCATTGTGGTTTTGACTTGCATTTCCCTAATGATTACTGATGTTGACACCATCTTTTCATGTGTGTATAGGCGATTTGGAGAAGTGTCTATTCAAGGACTTTCCTCATTTTTAATTGTTTTTTTTTTGTTCCTATAGAGGTGTAGAAGTTCTTAATATATTGTGGCAATTAAAGCTTTAACAGACATATGTAATACAAATATTTTTCTCTCATTCTGTGGGTTGCCTTTTCACTTTTTGATAGTGTCTTTAGAGGCACAAAATTTTTTAGCTTTTATAAAATAAAATGTATGCATATTTTTATTTTGTTGCCTGTACTTTTGGTGTCTTATCCAAGAAATCAGTGCCAAGTTCAATGTTGTGAATCTTTACCTCATGTTTTCTTCTAATAGTTTTATAGTTTTAGCTCTTACATTAAGGTCTTTGATCCATTTTGATTTTTCTATTTGATTTTCCTATTCTACAATATACATCATTTTAATGGGGATCAAATTGAATCTGTAGATTGCTTTGCTAGTATTAATGACTTAACAATATAAGTCTTTCAATCCATGAATGCCAAATGTCTACACATTTATTTGTGTCTTTTCCACTTCTTGCACCAATGTTTTGTTTTTTTCAGTGTACAAGCCTTTTGCCTCCTGGATTAAGTTTATTACTAAGTAATGTTTCTTTTCAATGCTACTATAAAAAGAATTGTTCTTAATTGACTTTTTGGATTTTTTTTGGCAATGTAGAGAAGCAAAACTGATTTTTGCATGTTGATTTTGCCACTATGGTTCAATTTATTAGTTTAAACAGTTTTGGAGTTTTTTTTGTGGAATACTTATGGTTTCTATGTATAAAATTATGCTATCTCTGAATACAGATATTTTACTTCTTTCATTACACGTTTCATGCCATTTATTTTTTATTTATTTGCCTAATTGCTCTGGTTAGACTCTCCAGTACTATGTTGAATAGAACCACTGAAAGAATGCATCCTTATTCCTGATTTTAGAACAAAAACTTTCAGTTTTTCAACACTGAGCATGTTGTTAGTTGTGGTATTTTTATGTAGGGCTATTACTATGTTCAAACAGTCTCCCTCCAAACCTAATTTGTTGAGTGTTTTCATAATAACAGGGTGGTTACTTTTCCCAAATGTATTTTTTTTGCATCAATTATGATTATCATGTGATTTTTTTCCTTTATTCTGTTAATGTGGTATGTAACAACAATAATTTATATTTATACCAATACTATTATGGGTAAAAACATAAAATTTATAATTTTAACCATTTTTAAGTGTAAAATTCAGGAGTTTTAAGTATATTCACATTGCTGAGCAACAAATCTCCAGAATATTTTCATTTTGTAGAACTAAAACTCTATATCCATTGAACAGCAGCTCTCTATTTCTCCCTTCCCCCAGTCCCGGATAACCACCATCAACTTTCCGTTTCCATGAATTTGATTACTTTGGATACCTCATGTAAGTGGATTTATACCTTATTTGTTTTTTTTTTTTGTAGTTGGCTTATTTTCTTAGCATAATTCCTCAAGATTCATCTATATCATAGCATGTAACAGGATTTCCTTCCATTAAAAGGCTGAATTGTATGGTTATGCCAAATTTTGTTTATCCATTCATCCATCAATGGACATTCAGGCAGCTTCTACCTCTTGAGTTTTGTAAATAAAGCTGCTATAAATAGGGCTGTGAAAATAACCTATTTCATATATACTCAATATGTACTCAAAATGGATATATACTGAAAAAGGGGATTATTGAATATTAGGGTAATTTTTTACAAAAATTTTTTTGAGAAATTTCCATGTTCCTATTCACAGCAGTTCCAGTACTTTACAATCTCACCAACAGTGCAAAAGGGTTCCAATTTGTTTGCATCTTCACCAACCCTTGCTATTTCTGTTTCATTGACAGTAGCAATTCTAAGGGATGTGAGGTGATATCTTGCTGTGGTTTTGATTTGCATTTATCTGGTGATTAGTGATGTTGAGCATCTTTTCATATGCTTTTTGGCAATATGTAAATCACCTATTCAAGTCTTATACCTATTTTTAAATCAAGTTTTGTGGTGGTGTTGAATTGTAGAAATTCTTGATATATTCTGTATACTAACCCCTTATCAGACATATGATTTTAAAATATTTTATCATTGTATAGTTTGCCTTCTCACTTTGTTAAATGTGTCCTTCAATGCAGAGGAGTTTTTGGCTTTGATGTAGTCTCATTTGACCATCTTTGTTTTTGTGGTCTGTAATTTCCATGTCATGGCAAGAAATCATTGCCAGATCTAATGTCATAAAGCTTCTCTCCTAGCTTTTCTTCTAAAAGTTTTATTATTTTGGGTTTTATGCTTTGGTCTTTAATCGATTTAGGGTTATTTTTACATGTTAATATTATATAAAATCAGGATTCAACTTCACTCTTGTGTGTAGATATCCAGTTTTTCTAAAGCCATTTGTTGAAGAGCTGTCCTTTTCCCACTGAGTGTTCTTGCCACCCTTGTCTAAAATTATTTGATCATATACATGAGAGCTTATACCTGAGGTTTCTAATATAGCCTATTGGTCTATTTGTCTGTCTTCATCCCAGTACCACACTGTTTTGAGTACTGTGATTTTGTAATATTTTTTTTAAATCAGAAAGTGTGAGATTTCCAGATTTGTTCTTCTTTATCAAGACTGTTGTGGCTATTTGAATCTCTCCAGATTGCATACAAATTTTGCATAGATTTTTCTATTTCTGCAGAAAATGCCATTGGGGCTTTTTTAGAGATTGAATTGAACCTGTAGATCATTTTGGTTAAAACAATTGAATTTTGTATGTCGAACTGCTTTTGCAGTCCCAGAATAAATCCTATTTCTTTATGGTGTATAACCTTTTTAATATGTTGCTGAGTATGTTTTGCTAGTATTTTGTTGCAGAATTTTACACCTATATTCACAAAGATTATTTTTCAGTAGTTTTAAGTCTTATAGTCACTTTGTCTAACTTTGGTATCAAGTTAATGCTGGCCTCATATAATTAGTTAGGGAATATTCCCTCCTCTTCTACTTTTGGAAGAGTTTCATAAAAATTTGTGTTAATTTTTCTTTAAATTTTTGGTAAAATTTGCCAGTGAAGCTATATGATCCAGGGCTTTCTTTTGCTGTAAGGTGTTTGATTATGGATTCAATCTCTGTGATAGTTGTAGGCCTATTCAGATTATCTATTTCTTCATAGTTTATTCTTGGTAGTTGTGTGCTTCCAGAAATTTGGAATTTTTACCTAGGTTTTCCAACTTGTTGACTTATCATTGTTCATACTACTCTCTTATAGTCCATTTTATTTCTGTAAAATTGGTAGCAATGTCACCATTTTAATTTCTGATTTTACTTCTTTTTGTATTTTATCTTTTTTTCTTAGTTAAAATACCTAAAGGCTTATTCATTTTGCTAATCTTTTTGAACAACCAACTTTTGATTTCACAATGTTTCTCTGATGTTTTTCTATTCTCTTTTATTTATCTCTGCTCTGATATATTTATTTCATTCTCTCTGCTAGGTTTAGTTTGGTTTATTCTTCTATTTCTACTTCCTTAATGTCTACAGTACGGTTGTTGGTTGATAACTTTCTTCTTTTATAATATATGCATTTAAAGCTATAAATCCCCTCTTAACACTGTTTTCTCTGAATCCCATAAGTTTTGATATATTGTGTTTCTGTTTTCATTTGTCTCAAAATATTTTCTCATTTTCTATTTGATTTATTCTTTGACTCATTGGTTGTTCAAGAGTATATCTTGTAATTATCACATAATTTTGAATTTTCTAGCCGTCATTCTGTTATTGATTTCTACATTTACTCTATAGTAATCAGTAAAAATATTTGGTTAAATATAATTTTTTTAAAAATCATTAAGCCTTCTTTTGTGGCCTTACATAAGTTCTAAATCTTGGAGAATGTTCTATGTCCACTTCAGAAAAATGTGTATTCTGCTGTTGTGGGGTGAAGTGTTCTGTATATATCTGTTAGCTATGGTTAGTTTATAAGGTTGTTCAAATTGTTTATTTCCTTATTGATCTTCTGACTGGATGTTACATCCATTATTGAAAGTGTGACATTCAACCCTTCAGCTATTATTGTATAGCTTGTTATTTTTCCTCTCAATTTTGTCAAAGTTTGCTTTATATATTTCAGAATTCTGATGTTTGGTGCATATTTGTTCATAATTATTATATCTGTTGGTAAATTGACCTTTTATTAATATACAATGTTCTTCTTTCTCTCTTGTAACTGTGACTTAAAGTCTATTTTTTACTAATATTGGTATAGCCACAGCAGCTCACTTTATACTTTCTGTGGAATACCTTTTTTCATCTTTATTTATTTATTTTAACATATTTATTTATTTATTTATTTTTAATTTTACTTAAATTCTAGGATACATGTGCAGAATGTGCAGGTTTGTTACATAGGTATACATGTGCCATGGTGGTTTGCTGCTCTTATCAACCCACCATCTAGGTTTTAAGCTCCAGATGCATTAGGTATTTGTCCTAAAGCTCACCCTCTCCTTGCCTCCCAGACCACAACAGGCCCCCATGTGTGTTGTTCCCCTCCCTGTGTCCATGTAGTCTCACTGTTCAACTCCCACTTATGAGTGAGAACATGCATTGTTTGGTTTTCTGTTTCCGTGTTAGTTTGCTGAGGATGATGGCTTCCAGCTTCATCTATGTCCCTGCAAAGGACATGATCTCATTCTTTTTTATGGCTGCATAATATTCCATGGTGTATACGTACCACAGTTGTAAATAGTGCTGCAATAAACATATGTGTGCATATGTCTTTATAGCAGAATGATTTATAATACTTTGGGTATATACCCAGTAATGGGATTGCTGGGTAAATTTTTTTTTTTTTTTGAGAAGGAGTCTCATTCTGCTGCCCAGGCTCAAGTGCAGTGGCGCAATCTTGGTTCACTGCAACCTCCACCTCCCAGGTTCAAGCAATACTCTTGCCTCTGCCTCCCAAGTAGCTGGGACTACAGACATGCACCACCACTTCTGGCTAATTTTTTATATTTTTAGTAGAGACAGGGTTTCACCATGCTGGTCTCAAACTCCTGACCTCAGGTAATTTGCCCATCTCGCCCCACCAAAGTGAATTACAGGCATGAGCCACTGTGCCCAGCCCTGTTTCCTGACTTTTTAATAATTGCAATTTTGAGTGTGGTGTGAGATGGTAGCCATACTCAGAAAACTGAAACTAGACCCCTTCCTTACACCTTATACAAAAATTAACTCACTATGGTTTAAAGACTTAAATGTAAAATGTGAAACCATAAAAACCCTAGAAGAAAACCTAGGCAATACCATTCAAGACATAGGCATGGGCAAAGACTTCATGATGAAAACACCAAAAGAGATTGCAACAAAAGCTAAAATTGACAAATGGGAACTAATTAAACTAAAGAGCTTCTGCACAGCAAAAAAACTAGCATCAGAGTGAACTGGCAGCCTACAGAATGGGAGAAAATTTTTGCAATATACCCATCCAACAAAGGTCCAGCATCCAGAGTCTACAAGGAACTTAAAAAACTCACGAGAAATAAACAAACAACCCCATCAAAAAGTGGGCAAAGGATATGAACAGACACTTCTCAAAAGAAGACATTTATGTGGCCAAAAAACATATAAAAAAAGTTCATCATCACTGTTCATTAGAGAAATTTAAATTCATCATTTTTTAATCAACCTATAATAAATTCTTAGATCTAAAGTGAGTCTCTTATAAACAGCATATAGTTGGATGGTGTTTATTTTCACATTTATCTAATATATGCCTTTTGATTAGAAAAGGTAATCCATTTATATTTAAATAAATTGCTAATAAAGAAGAACTTATACTTGCCATTTTGTTATTTTTTCCTGATTCTCACTAATTCCATTATTGCCTTCCTTTGTTTTTAGCAGTTTCTAAATTAAGTACCATGTTTTGATTCTCTTCTTTTTTTTGTATATATTTTATTGATATTTCCTTAGAAGTTACCATGGAGATTGTACTTAACATTGTAGAGTCTTAACAATTTATTTTTTAATTTGCACAAATTTAACTCTAAATGTGTACAAAAACTGTAATATTATACTGCTCCCATTCCCTTAGACTTGAAGGGAAATACCCAGTTCTAACAGTATTCATCATCTGCTAAGTGAAGAGTTCTTGGGCCCTGACTAACCAACAGAAATACTCAGGTAATATATTGATGGCTTTGGGTGAGAGTCTGAGGCTTGCTGGCCTTAAGTGAGATTCAGCACATTCCCACCTGTAGTGGCTGTGGGACGAGACTCATTTTGCTTGAGAAATCAGAGGAAAAAGTAAAGAGGACTTTGTCAAGCCTTAGGTACCAGCATAGCCACAGAGAAATAAAGCACCACTAAGTGGGCTCTTGGGGTTCCTGATTTCAGGACGTGGCTCTTGGATGGCATTTGTGGACCTGCCCTGGGCCAAAGGAGAGCCCACTGCACTGAAGAATATAAGTCCCAGGTCAGGCAGCATTCACCAAAAGCTGACTTAAGAGCTCTTGGGTCTTAAGGGGACATTAACTGTAGCCTGGAAGTACTCTACATGTACCTGTGGTGGTAGTGGCCGTAGAGTGAGGTTCCTCTGCCTTTGAAATGGGGAGGAAAGAGTAAGAAAGACTGTATCTAGTGGTTTGAGTCCCAGCTCATCTGCAGTACAACAGAATACGAGGTAGGCTTCTAAGATTATTGAATCTAGTCACTGACTCTGAGGCAGCACCTCTGGACTGCTCAGGGACTGGGGGATCTCACCACCCTGAAGGGAAAACAGGCCTGGCTTGCATTGCCACCTATTGATTGTAGAGCCTCATGGCTTTGATTGAATATACTCATTGGACAGGGAGTGATTACAGCAGACCATAAATAAAATACAGTACTGTGCTAGCTACAGGTCTGACCGAGCACAGCCCTAGTGGCCACAGGGCTCCTTGTGTCACTCCAGTCCAACTTCAGGTGGCTCATAGCAGAGAGTGTTTGGGAGAAATTAAGGGACAAAAACAAATGTTTTCACCTGTTAATCCAGAGAAGTCTCTCAGATATTGTCCAAGACTATCAAGGTAGTAACTCTATGAGCCTGCAGGAACCACAGCGCTACTGGGCTTGGCATGCCCTGTAAAGCAGATACAGCTCAGATCACAATATCCGAGTCCTTATGGGTATCTGGGAAGCCTTCCCAAAAAGGATGAGTAAAAACAAGCCCAGACTGAAGTCTACAATAAATACCTAATTCTTCAATGTCCAGACGTAGATGATGTCACCAAATGAACTAAATAAACCAGCAGGAACTAATCCTGCAGAAACAGAGATATGTGACCTTTCCAGGAGAGAATTGGAAATAACTGTCTTGTAGAAAAGAAAATTCAAATGAATTCAAGATAAAATCAAAGAAAGAATTCAGAATTCTGTCAGATAAAATTAACAAAGTTATTCAAATAATTTAAAAGAATCAAACAAATTCTGGAGCTGAAAAATGCTATTAGCATACTGAAGAATGCATCAGCCTTTCAATAACAGAATCAATCATCAGAAGAAATAATTAATGAGCTTGAAGACAGGCTATTTGAACATACAAAGTCAGAAAACACCAAAAAAAGAAACAATAAAGCATGCATACAGGATCTAGAAAACAGACTCAAAGGAGCAAAACTAAGAGTAATTGGCCTTAAAGAGGACATAGAGAAAGACATAGGGGTAGAAAGTTTATTCAAAGAGATAATAACAGAGAACTTCATAAATTTAGAGAATGATATCAATATCCAAGTACAAGAAGGTCATAAGACACCAAACAAATTTAACTCAAGGAAGACTACCTCAAGGTGTTTAATAATCAAATGCCCAAAGACCAAGGGTAAAGAAAGCATCCTAAAAGTAGCAAGATAAAAGAAACGAATACTGTACAAGGAAGCTTTAATACACCTGACAACAGACTTTTCAGTGACAACCTTACAGACCAGAAGAGAGTGGCATGATATATTTAAACTGCTGGAGGAGGAAAAAAAATCAAACTAAAAAAACACTTTTACCCTAAAATAATATATCCAGCAATAATATCCTTCAAACATGAAGAGGAAATAGACATTCCCAGAGAAAAACATAAGTGACCTGATGGAGCTGAAAAACACAGCACGAGAATTTCGTAAAGCATACAAAAATATCAACAGCAGAATATGTCAAGCGGAAAAAGGATATCAGAGATGAAGATCAATTTAGTGAAATAAAGTGTGAAGACAAGAGTAGGAATAAAACAATAAAAAGGAACAAACAAAGCCTCCAAGAAATATGGGACTATGTGAAAAGACAAAACCTACATTTGACTGGTGTACATGAAATTGATGGGAAGAATGGAACCAAGATGGAAAACACCCTTCAGGATATTATCCAGGAGAATTTCCCCAAACTAGCAAGACAGGCCGACATTCAAATTCAGGAAACACAGAGAAACCATAAAGATACGCATCAAGAAGAGCAACCTCAAGACACGTAATTGTCAGATTCACCAAGGTTGAAAGGTAGAAAAAAGTGTTAAGGGCAGCCAGAGAGAAAGGTAGGGTTACCCACAAAGGGAAGCCCATCAGACTAGCAGTGGAACTCTCTGCAGAACCCCTAAAAGCCAGAAGAGAGTGAAAGCCAATATTCAACATTCTTAAAGAAAATAATTTTCAACCCAGAATTTTAGATCCAGCCAAACTAAGCTTCATAGGCAAAGGAGAAATAAAATCCTTTACAGACAATCAAATGATGAAATATTTTGTCAAAACCATTCCTGCCTTACAAGAGCTCCTGAAAGAAGCACTAAATATGGAAAGGAAAAACCAGTAACAGACAATGCAAAAACATACCAAATTGTAAAGACCATCGACACTATGAAGAAACTGCATCAACTAATGGGCAAAATAACCAGCTAGCACCATAATGACAGGATCAAATTCACACATAGCAAGATTAATCTTAAATGACTCATCAGTGTGCTGTATTCAGAAGACCCATCTCACGTGCAAAGACACATATAGGCTCAAAATAAAGGGATGGAGGAAGATTTACCAAGCAAATGGAAAGCATAAAAAAAGCATGGTTTCAAAACTAGTCTCTGATAAAACAGACTTTAAACCAACACATACATATATAAACAACAAAGAAGGGCATTACATAATGGTAACAGGATCAATGAAACAAGAAAATCTAACTATCCTAAATATATATGCACTCAGTACAGGAGCACCCAGATTCATAAAGCAAGTTCTTAGAGACCTACAAGGAGCCTTAGACCCCCACACTATAATAGTGGGAGGCTATAACACCCCACTGTCAATATTAGACAGATCAACGAGACAGAAAATTAACAAGGATATTCGGGACTTGAACTCAGCTCTGGACCAAGTGCAACAAATAGACATCTACAGAACTCTTCACCTCAAATAAACAGAATATACATTCTTCTCAGCACCACGTCACACTTTTTCTAAAACTGACCACACAATTGGAAGTAAAACACTTCTCAGCAAATGCAAAAGAACAGAAATCATAAGTTTTTTGACCACAGTGCAATCAAATTAGAACTCAGGATTAAGAAACTAACTCAAAACTGCACAACTACATGGAAACTGAACAACCTGCTCCTGAATGATTATTGAGTAAATTACAAAATTAGCGCAGAAAAAAATAAGTTCATTGAAACTAATGAGAACAAAGACACAATGTACCAGAATCTCTGGGACACAGCTAAAGCAGTGTTTTGAGGGAAATTTATATCACTAAATGACCACAGGAGAAAGTGGGAAAGATCTAAAATTGATACACTAACATCATAATTAAAAAAACTAGAGAAGCAAAAGCAAACAAATTCAAAAGCTAGCAGAAGACAAGAAATAACTAAGATCAGAGCAGAACTGAAGGAGATAGAGACATGAAAAATACTTCAAAAATTCAATTAATCCAGGAGCTGGTTTTTTGAAAAGATTAACAAATAGGTATACCACTATCCAGACTGATAAAGAAGAAAAGAGAGAAGAATCAAATAGACACAATAAAAAATGATAAAGGAGATATCATCACTGATCCCACAGACATACAAACTACCATCAGAGAATACTATAAACACCTCTATGCAAATAAACCAGAAAATTTAGAAAAAATGGATTAATTCCTGGACACATGCACCCTCCTAAGACTAAACCAGGAAGAAGTCAAATTCCTGAATAGACCAATAACAAGTTCTGAAATTGAGGCAGTAATTAATAGCCTACAAACCACAAAAAGCCCAGGACCAGAAGAATTCACAGATGAATTCCACCAGAGGTACAAAGAGGAGCTGCTAACATGACTTCTGAAACAATTCCAAACAATTGAAAAGGAAGGACTCCTCCCTAACTCATTTTATGAGGCCAGCATGATCCTGATTAAAAAAAATCTGGCAGAGACACAACAAAACAAAAATTTCAGGCCCAAATCCCTCATAAACATCGATACAAAAATCCCCAATAAAATTCTGGCAAACCGAATGCAGCAGCAGATCAAGAAAGCTTATCTACCACGATCAAATTGGCTTCATCCCTGGGATGCAAGTCTGGATCAACATATGCAAATCAATAAACGTAATCCATCACATAAACAGAATCAATGACAAAAACCACACGATTATCTCAATAGATGCTGAAAAAGGCCTTCCATAAAATTCAACACCCTTTCATGCTAAAAACTCTCAATAAACTAGGTATTGATGGAATGTTTCTCAAAATCATGTCAGCTATTTATGACAAACCCAGAGCCAATATCATACTGAATGGGCAAAAACTGGAAGCATTCCCTTTGAAAACGGGCACAAGATAAGGCTGCCCTCTCTCTCCACTCCTATTCAACGTAGTATTGGAAGTTCTGGGCATGGCAATCAGGCAAGTGAAAGAAATAAACGGTATTCCAATAGGAAGAAAGGAAGTCAAATTGTCTCTGTTTGCAGATGACTTGATTGTATATTTAGAAAACCCCTTGGTCTCAGCCCAAAATCTCCTTAAGCTGATAAGCAACTTCAGCAAAGTCTCAGGATACAAAATCAATGTGCAACCATCACAAGCATTCCTATACACCAATAATAGACAAACAGAGATCCAAATTATGAGTGAACTCCCATTCACAATTACTACAAAGGAAAGAAAATTCCTAGGAATACAATTTACAAGAGATGTGAAGGACCTCTTTAAGTAGAACTACAAACCACTGCTCACGGAAATAAGGGAGGACACAAACAAATGAATAAACATTCCATGCTCCTTGATAGGAAGAATCAATATTGTGAAAATGGCCACACTGCCTAAAGTAATTTATAGATTCAATGCTATCCCCATGAAGCTACCATTGACATTCTTCACAGAATTAGAAAAAACTACTTTAAATTTCATATGGAACCAAAAAAGAGCCCATATAGCCAAGACAATCCTAAGCACAAAGGACAAAGCTGGAGGCATCACGCTACCTGACTTCAAACTATACTACAAGGCTACAGTAACCAAAACAGAATGCTACTGGTACCAAAATAAACAGATATGTAGACAAATGGAGCAGAACAGTGGCCTCAGAAATAACACCACACATCTATAACCATCTGATCTTTGACAAACCTGACAAAAACAAGTAATGGAGAAAGGATTTCTTATTTAATAACTGGTGTTGGGAAAACTGGTTAGCCATATGCAGAAAACTGAAACTTGACCCCTGCCTTACATGTTATACAAAAATTAACTCAAGATAGATTAAAGACTTAAACATAAAACTTAAAACCATAAAAACCCTAGAAGAAAACCTAGGCAATACCATCTAAGACATAGGCACGGGCAAAGTCTTCATGACTAAAACACCAAAAAGCAATGACAACAAAAGTCAAAATTGACCAATGGGATCTAATTAAACTAAAGAGCTTCTGCACAGCAAAAAAAAAAAAAAAAAAAAAAAAAAAAAAAAAAAAAAAAAAAAAAAAAAAAAAAAAAAAAAAAAAAAGACTATCAGAGTGAACAGGCAACTTACAGAATGGGAGAAAATTTTTGCAATCTATCCATCTGACAAAGGGCTAATACCCAGAATCTACAAGGAATTTAAACATATTTACATGAAACAACCCCTTCAAAAAGTGGGCAAAGGATATGAACAGATACTTTTCAAAAGAAGACATTTATGCAGCCAATAAACATATGAAGAAATGCTCTTCATCACTGTTCATTAGAGAAATGCAAATCAAATCCACAATGAGATACCATCTCAAGCCAGTTACAATGATGATCATTAAAAACTCAGGAAACAACAGATGCTGAAGAGGATGTGGAGAAATAGGAACACTTTTACACTGTTGGTGGGAGTGTAAATTAGCTCAACCATTGTGAAAGACAGTGTAGCGATTCCTCTAGGAATTACCATTTGACTCAGTAATTTCTTTAACAGAAATTAACGGTGTATAATTTCTTTATACACCCAAGGATTATAAATTATTCTACTTTGAAGACACATGCACATGTATGTTTATTGCAGAGCTGTTCACAATAACAAAGACTTGGAACCAACCCAAATGCTCATCAGTGATAGACTGGAAAGAGAATGTGGCACATATACACCATCGAATACTATGCAGCCATAAAAAGGATAACTTCATGTCTTTGCAGGGACATGGATGAAGCTGGAAACCATCATTCTCAGCAAAGTAACACAGGAACAGAAAACCAAACCCCACATGTTCTCACTCATAAGTGGGAGTTGAAAAAAAGAGAACACATGGACATATGGAGGGGAACATCACATACCGGGGCCTGTTAGGGGTTGGGGGCTAGGGGAGGGATAGCATTAGGAGAAATACCTAATGTAGATGATGGGTTGATGGGTGCAGCAAGCCACCATGGCACATGTATACCTATGTAACAAACCTGCATGTTCTGCACATGTATCCCAGAACTTCAAGTATAATAAAAAAATTAATTGAAGCAAGTAATAATGGAAACAACTATCAAAACATATCAAATACAGCAAAAGCAGTACTAAGAGAGAAGTTTATAGATATGAGTGCCTACATAAAATATTCAAATAAACAACCTGTTAATGCATCTTAAAGAAGTAGAAAAAGAATAGCAAGCCAAATGCCAAATTAGTAGAAAAAAATCATAAAGATCAGAGCAGAAATAAATGAAAAAGAAATGAAAACAATACAAAAATCAACAGAACAAAAAAACTGTTTCTTGAAATGTTAAATAAAATTGACAGACCTTTATCCAGATGAACTAAGAAAAAAATAGAAAGTATATGAATAAGTAAAATCACAGATGAAAAAGGAAACATTACATTTAATACTGCAGAAATGCAAAAGATCATTACTACTATGAGTAACTATTTTCCAATACATTGGAAAATCTAGAAGAAATGGATAAATTCCTAGACACATACAATCTACCAAAATTGAACCAATAAGAAATCCAAAACCTGAGCACACTAATAACTAATAATGAGGTTGAAGCCATAATGAGACGTCTCCCAGTAATGAGAGGAATCTGATGGCTTCACTGCTGAATTCTACCAAACATTTAAAGAAGTACTCATACCAATCCTACTCAAACTTTTCTGAACAATACTGGAGGAAATAGTCCAAAATTCATTCTATGAGACCAGAATTACCCTGATACCAAATCTAAACAAAGACACATTGAAAAAAATAAAACTACAGGTAAACATCTCTGATGAATAAAATCCTCAACAAAATACTTGCAAACTGAATTCAACAATACATTAGAAAGATTATTCATCATGTTCAACTGGGATTTATGTCTAGGATGCAGTGGTGGTTCGACATATGCGAATCAATCAGTGTGATACATCACATCAACAGAAAGAAGGACAAAAACCATATGATGACTTCAACTGATCCTAAAGAGCATTTTATAAAACTTAACATCATTCATGATAAAAACCTTAAAAAAGCTGGTGATAGAAGGAACATACCTCAACATAATAAAAGCCATATATGACAGACCCACAACTAGTACCATACTGAATGGGGAAAAAATGGAAAACTTTTCTCTAAGATCTGAAAACAGACAAGGATACCCACTTTTACCGCTGTTTATCAACACAGTACTGGAAATCCCAGCAAGAGCAATCAGACAAGAGAACAAAATAAAGGGCATCCAAATTGGAGAGGAAGAAGTAAAATTATGCTTGTTTTCAGATGATAAAATCTTATGTTAGAAAAAGCTGAAGACTCCACTAAAAAGAAATATTTGAACTAAAAAATTTAGTAAAGTTGCAGGATACAAAATCAGCATACACACATCAGCAGCATTTCTATATGCCAACAGTGGGCAATCTGAAAAAGATGAAAAAAAAGTAATTCCATTTATGAAGTAACCACAAAAATTAAAACACAGGAATTAACCAAAGAAATGAAATGTCTTCATAATAAAAACTACAAAACCATAATGAAATAAATTGAAGAGGACACAAAAAAAGAAAATATATTTCATGTTCATGGTTTGGAAAAATTGATGTTATTAAAATGCCCATATTACCCAAAGCAATCTACGGATTCAATTCAAGACCCATCAAAATACCAATAACATTCTTCACAAAAATGGAAACTAAAAATCCTATAATTTCTATGGAACCACAAAAGACCCAGAATAGCCAAAGCTATCATAAGCAAAAAGAACAAAATTAGAGGAATCACAATACCTGACTTCAGATTATACTGCAGAACCATAGTAGCCTAAACAGCAAGGTACTGGCATAAAAACACATAGACCAATGGAATAGAATAGAGAACCCCAAAACAAATCTACACACATACAGTGAACTCATTTTTACCAAAGGTGCCAAGAACATACACTGGGGAATAGACAGTGTCTTCAATAAATGGTGCTGGGTAAACTGGATATCCATATTCAGAAGAATGAAAGTAAACCCCTCTCTCTTGCCATAAAAAATCAAATCACAGAGGAAGATGTCAAACTAGGGAATTACTACAAGAAAACAATGGGGAAAATCTCCTGGATATTGGTCTGGGCAAAGAGTTTTGAGTAATGCCCCACAATTACAGGCAACAAAAGCAAAAATAGACAAATGAGATTCTTGTAAGTTAAAAAGCTTCCAGACAGCAAGAAAAACACTCAACAAAGTAGAGTCAACCAAAAGAATGATAAAAACATTGACAAACTACCCTCTGATGAGGCGTTAATAAGCAGACTATAAGAGTTCAAACAACACTATAGAAAAAAATCTAATAATCCAACTAAAATGGATAAAATATTTAAATAGACATTTCTCAAAAGACGATATACTAATGGCAAACAGGCATATAAAAAGGTACTCAACATCATTGATCATCTGATAAATGCAAATCAAAAATACAATGAGATATCATCTCACTCTAGTTAAAGTGGCATATATCCAAAAGACAGGGAATAACAAATGCTGATGAGGATGTGGAGTAAAGAGAACTTTTGTATACAGTTGGTGAGAATGTAAATTATTACAACCACCATGGAGAAGAGTCTGTAAGTTCCTCAAAAATAAAAAAATAGAGCTGGGTATATACCCACAAAAAAGAAAATCAGTGTATCGAAGAAATATCTGTACTCCCATGTTTGTTGCATCACTGTTCAGAGTATCCAAGATTTGAAAGCAACCAATGTTCATCAAGACACAAATGGATAAAGAAAATGTGGTACATATACACACTGGAGTTCTATTTATCCACAATAAATCATGAGATCCTGTCATTTGCAACAGCATGGATGAAATCAGAGCTCATTATTTTAAGTGAAATAAGTCAGACACAGAAAGGCACACTTCGCATGTACTCATTTATTTGGGCTAAAAATTAAAACACACTCATGAGGTTAAGAGTAGAAGAATGGTTACCAAAAGCTGAGAAGGATAGTGGGAAGTTGATGGGCATGGTTAATGGATAGAAACATTTACTTTTTGTAACACCAAAGATAAATATTTGAGGGGATGAATACCCAAATCTCCATGACTTGATTATTCTGCATTACATGTCTGCATCAAAACATTTTATGTGCCCCATAGATATATACACCTACTATGTACACACAAATATTAAAAATAAAAATTGAAAAAGTAATATAAAATAAAATAACTAAGAGTATAATTGGATTATCTGTAACACTAAGGATAAATCATTGAAGAGATGGATATCCCATTCTCTATGTTGTGGTATTACACATTAAATGCCTGCATCAAAACATTTCATAAACCCCATAGATATATACACCTATTATGTACTCACAAAAATTAAAATAAAAAAATTTGTAAAGAATGTCTAATTCAAAGTCATTCTGTGGCAACTAAAAATGAGATTCTCTATTCTTGGATTCTCCTTTTGAGTATGTTCAAATATACAAGTGTTAATAAATTTATTAAGTTTTTATGTCTCAGTTTTATCAGAAAGCCATCAGACAGGCCTACTATAGATAGATACTCTGCCCATTTCCACCAGATACAGAAAAGAATTTTCTTCTTACACTAACTTGTTTTGGCAATCATGAGGACAGCTTTTAGAAAACCCAGGGCTTTCATTTTACTATGCAAGACAACACAGCTCTTGTCATATAATGCTGCCCAAGGATTTGGTACTGGTCAGATTGTGTTCTGCCCATATCCTATCTCATTTACTGGCAGTTTGCATGGGAAGTTAGACTTTGTTCAAGGCTCAGATGATGCCACAGAAGACTTGTCATTCAATGACCTTCCTTGTTGAAATCTTCCTGGTTTTCTCCAAGGAAACTGCCCAAGTCTGCTTCCATGGGCAGAATATAGCTTGTAATTCACTTTATTGGACATTTTCTGCTTCCTGTTAAACAGTGCTTATTTTTAATTATGTTTATTTCTCTCATATCACCTCCAACCAAATAATATCATACTTTTCACCGCCTGCTGTGTAGTCACTACGTGAGAGATACTGGCCCTGACACTCTCAACAGGTTTGTTTTCAGAATTTGAGGAGATGGTCAGAAATTGTTACTTTTTGGTTGAATAAACCATCACATCAGTTAATGAAGCAAGCCATAATTGAAAGTAGCCCACCGAAAAAAAAAAAAACTTATAAATGTGTGGCTAAGGAGTTTATAATCCTTTACATTAAAATAGCAGTTCCCACTATCATGGTAAATTAGAGGTAGAAATTTGCCTAAAGCAAGTTTTAGAATCTAAATCCAGTTTACTTTATTTATTTATTTATATATTTATTTATTATTATACTTTAAGTTTTAGGGTACATGTGCACAATGTGCAGGTTAGTTACATATGTATACATGTGCCATGCTGGTGCGCTGCACCCATTAACTCGTCATCTAGCATTAGGTATATCTCCCAATGCTATCCCTCCCCCCTCTCCCCACCCCACAACAGTCCCCAGAGTGTGATGTTCCCCTTCCTGTGTCCATGTGTTCTCATTGTTCAGTTCCCACCTATGAGTGAGAATATGTGATGTTGGGTTTTTTGTTCTTGTGATAGTTTACTGAGAATGATGATTTCCAATTTTATCCATGTCCCTACAAAGGACATGAACTCATCATTTTTTATGGCTGCATAGTATTCCATGGTGTATATGTGCCACATTTTCTTAATCCAGTCTATTATTGTTGGACATTTGGGTTGGTTCCAAGTCTTTGCTATTGTGAATAGTGCCGCAATAAACATACGTGTGCATGTGTCTTTATAGCAGCATGATTTATAGTCATTTGGGTATATACCCAGTAATGGGATGGCTGGGTCAAATGGTATTTCTAGTTCTAGATCCCTGAGGAATCACCACAATGACTTCCACAATGGTTGAACTAGTTTACAGTCCCATCAACAGTGTAAAAGTGTTTCTATTTCTCCGCATCCTCTCCAGCACCTGTTGTTTCCTGACATTTTAATGATTGCCATTCTAACTGGTGTGAGATGATATCTCATTGTGGTTTTGATTTGCATTTCTCTGATGGTCAGTGATGGTGAGCATTTTTTCATGTGTTTTTTGGCTGCATAAATGTCTTCTTTTGAGAAGTGTCTCTTCATGTCCTTCACCCACTTTTTGATGGGGTTTTTTCTTGTAAATATGTTTGAGTTCATTGCAGATTCTGGATATTAGCCCTTTTTCAGATGAGTAGGTTGTGAAAATTTTCTCCCATTCTGTAGGTTGCCTGTTCACTCTGATGGTAGTTTCTTTTGCTGTGCAGAAGCTCTTTAGTTTAATTAGATCTCATTTGTCAATTTTGGCTTTTGTTGCCATTGCTTTTGGTGTTTTAGAAATGAAGTCCTTGCCCATGCCAATGCCCTGAATGGTAATGCCTAGGTTTTCTTCTAGGGTTTTTATAGTTTTAGGTTTAATGTTTAAGTCTTTAATCCATCTTGAATTAATTTTTGTATAAGATGTAAGGAAGGGATCCAGTTTCAGCTTCCTACATATGGCTAGCCAGTTTTCCCAGCATCATTTATTAAATAGGGAATCCTTTCCCCATTGCTTGTTTTTGTCAGGTTTGTCAAAGATCAGATAGTTGTAGATATGTGGCATTATTTCTGAGGGCTCCGTTCTGTTCCAATGATCTATATCTCTGTTTTGGTACCAGTACCATGCTCTTTTGGTTACTGTAGCCTTGTAGTATAGTTTGAAGTCAGGTAGCGTGATGACTCCAGCTTTGTTCTTTTGGCTTAGGATTGACTTGGCGATGCGGGCTCTTTTTTGGTTCCATATGAACTTTAAAGTAGTTTTTTCCAGTTCTGTGAAGAAAGTCATTGGTAGCTTGATGGGGATGGCATTGAATCTATAAATTCCCTTGGGCAGTATGGCCATTTTCACGATATTGATTCTTCCTGCCCACGAGCATGGAATGTTCTTCCTTTTGTTTGTATCCTCTTTTATTTCCTTGAGGAGTGATTTCTAGTTCTCCTTGAAGAGGTCCTTCACATCCCTTGTAAGTTGGATTCTTAAGTATTTTATTCTCTTTGAAGCAATTGTGAATGGGAATTCACTCATGATTTGGCTCTCTGTTTGTCTGTTATTGGTCTATAAGAATGCTTGTGATTTTTGTACATTGATTTTGTATCCTGAGACTTTGCTGAAGTTGCTTATCAGCTTAAGGAGATTTTGGGCTGAGACAATGGGGTTTTCTACATATACAATCATGTCATCTGCAAACAGGGACAATTTGACTTCCTCTTTTCCTAATTGAATACCTTTTATTTCCTTCTCCGGCCTAATTGCCCTGGCCAGAACTTCCAACACTATGTTGAATAGGAGTGGTGAGAAAGGGCATCCCTGTCTTGTGCCAGTTTTAAAAGTGAATGCTTCCAGTTTTTGCCCATTCAGTATGATATTGGCTGTGGGTTTGTCATAGATAGCTCTTATTATTTTGAGATATGTCCCATCAATACCTAATTTATTGAGAGTTTTTAGCATGAAGAGTTGTTGAATTTTGTCAAGGGCCTTTTCTGCATCTATTGAGATAATCATGTGGTTTTTGTCTTTGGTTCTGTTTATATGCTGGATTACATTTATTGATTTGCGTATATTGAACCAGCCTTGCATCCCAGGGATGAAGCCCACTTGATCATGGTGGATAAGCTTTTTGATGTGCTGCTGGATTCGGTTTGCCAGTATTTTATTGAGGATTTTTGCATCCATGTTCATCAAGGATATTGGTCTAAAATTCTCTTTTTTGGTTGTGTCTCTCCCAGGCTTTGGTATCAGGATGATGCTGGCCTCATAAAATGAGTTAGGGAGGATTCCCTCTTTTTCTATTGATTGGAATAGTTTCAGAAGGAATGGTACGAGTTCCTCCTTGTACCTCTGGTAGAATTCAGCTGTGAATCCATCTGGTCCTGGACTCTTTTTGGTTGGTAAGCTATTGATTATTGCCACAATTTCAGCTCCTGTTATTGGTCTATTCAGAGATTCAACTTCTTCCTGGTTTAGTCTTGGGAGAGTTTATGTGTCCAGGAATTTATCCATTTCTTCTAGATTTTCTAGTTTATTTGCATAGAGGGGTTTGTAGTATTCTCTGATGGTTATTTGTATTTCTGTGGGATTGGTGGTGATATCCCCTTTATCATTTTTTATTACATCTATTTGATTCTTCTCTCTTTTTTTCTTTATTAGACTTGCTAGCGGTCTATCAATTTTGTTGATCCTTTCAAAAAACCAGCTCCTGGATTCATTAATTTTTTCAAAGGGTTTTTTTGTCTCTATTTCCTTCAGTTCTGCTCTGATTTTAGTTATTTCTTGCCTTCTGCTAGCTTTTGAATGTGTTTGCTCTTGCTTTTCTAGTTCTTTTAATTGTGATGTTAGAGTGTCAATTTTGGATCTTTCCTGCTTTCTCTTGTGGGCATTTAGTGCTAGAAATTTCCCTCTACACAGTGCTTTGAATGCGTCACAGAGATTCTGGTGTGTTGTGTCTTTTTTCTCATTGGTTTCAAAGAACATCTTTATTTCTGCCTTCATTTTGTTATGTACCCAGTAGTCATTCAGGAGCAGGTTGTTCAGTTTCCATGTAGTTGAGTGGTTTTGAGTGAGTTTCTTAATCCTGAGTTCTAGTTTGATTGCACTGTGGTCTGAGAGACAGTTTGTTATAATTTCTGTTCTTTTACATTTGCTGAGGAGAGCTTCCAACTCTGTGGTCAATTTTGGAATAGGTGTGGTGTGGTGCTGAAAAAATGTATATTCTGTTGATTTTGGGTGGAGAGTTCTGTAGATGTGTATTAGGTCCACTTGGTGCAGAGCTGAGTTCAATTCCTGGGTATCCTTGTTAACTTTCTGTCTCATTGATCTGTCTAATGTTGACAGTGGGGTGTTAAAGTCTCCCATTATTATTGTGTGGGAGTCTAAGTCTCTTTGTAGGTCACTCAGGACTTGCTTTATGAATCTGGGTGCTCCTGTATTGGGTGCATATATATTTAGGATAGTTAGCTCTTCTTGTTGAATTGATCCCTTTACCATTATGTAATGGCCTCTTTGTCTCTTTTGATCTTTGTTGGTTTAAAGTCTGTTTTATCAGAGACTAGGATTGCAACCCCTGCCTTTTTTTGTTTTCTATTTGCTTGGTAGATCTTCCTCCATCCTTTTATTTTGAGCCTATGTGTTTCTCTGCACATGAGATGGGTTTCCTGAATACAGCACACTGATGGGTCTTGACTCTTTATCCAATTTGCCAGTCTATGTCTTTTAATTGGAGCATTTAGTCCATTTACATTTAAAGTTAATATTGTTATGTGTGAATTTGATCCTGTCATTATGATGTTAGCTGGTGATTTTGCTCGTTAGTTGATGCAGTTTCTTCCTAGTCTCGATGGTCTTTAAATTTTGGCATGATTTTGCAGTGGCTGGTACCAGTTGTGCCTTTCCATGTTTAGTGCTTCCTTCAGGAGCTCTTGTAGGGCAGGCCTGGTGGTGACAAAATCTCTCAGCATTTGCTTGTCTGTAAAGTATTTTATTTCTCCTTCACTTATGAAGCTTAGTTTGGCTGGATATGAAATTCTGGCTTCAAAATTCTTTTCCTTAAGAATGTTGAATATTGGCCCCCACTCTTTTCTGGCTTGTAGAGTTTCTGCCGAGAGATCCGCTGTTAGTCTGATGGGCTTCCCTTTGTGGGTAACCCGACCTTTCTCTCTGGCTGCCCTTAACATTTTTTCCTTCATTTCAACGTTGGTGAATCTGACAATTATGTGTCTTGGAGTTGCTCTTCTCGAGGAGTAACTTTGTGGCATTCTCTGTATTTCTTGAATCTGAATGTTGGCCTGCCTTGCTAGATTGGAGAAGTTCTCCTTATCCTGCAGAGTGTTTTCCAACTTGGTTCCATTCTCCCCATCACTTTCAGGTACACCAATCAGATGTAGATTTGGTCTTTACACTTAGTCCCATATTTCTTGGAGGCTTTGTTCATTTCTTTTTTTTCTTTTTTCTCTAAACTTCCCTTCTTGCTTCATCTCATTCATTTCATCTTCCATCACTGATACCCTTTCTTCCAGTTGATCGCATCAGCTCCTGAGGCTTCTGCATTCTTTGCGTAGTTCTTGAGCCTTGGCTTTCAGCTCCATCAGCTCCTTTAAACACTTTTCTGTATTGGTTATTCTAGTTATACATTCATCTATTTTTTTTTCAAAGTTTTCAACTTCTTTGCTTTGGTTTGAATTTCCTCCTGTAGCTTGGAGTTGTTTGATCATCTGAAGCCTTCTTCTCTCAACTCGTCAAAGTCATTCTCCATCCAGCTTTGTTCCGTTGCTGGTGAGGAACTGCGTTCCTTTGGAGGAGGAGAGGTGCTCTGCTTTTTAGAGTTTCCAGTTTTTCTGCTCTGTTTTTCCCCCATCTTTGTGGTTTTATCTACTTTTGGTCTTTGATGTTGGTGATGTACAGATGGGTTTTTGGTGTGGGTGTCCTTTCTGTTTGTTAGTTTTCCTTCTAACAGACAGGAACCTCAGCTGCAGGTCTGTTGGAGTTTTCTAGAGGTCCACTCCAGACCCTGTTTGCCTGGGTATCATCAGCAGTGTCTGCAGAACAGCGGATTTTCGTGAACCGCGAATGCTGCTGTCTGATCGTTCCTGTGGAAATTTTGTCTCAGAGGAGTACCCGGCCGTGTGAGTTCTCAGTCTGCCCCTACTGCGGGGTGCCTCCCAGTTAGGCTGCTTGGGGGTCAGGGGTCGGGGACCCACTTGAGGAGGCAGTCTGCCCATTCTCAGATCTCCAGCTGCGTGCTGGGAGAACCACTTCTCTCCTCAAAGCTGTCAGACAGGGACATTTAAGTCTGCAGAGGTTACTGCTGTCTTTTTGTTTGTCTTTGCCCTGCCCCCAGAGGTGGAGCCTACAGAGGCAGGCAGGCCTCCTTGAGCTGTGGTGGGCTCCACCCAGTTCGAGCTTCCCAGATGCTTTGTGTACCTAAGCGAGCCTGGGCAATGGGGGCACCCCTCCCCCAGCCTCGCTGCCGCCTTGCGGTTTGATCTCAGACTGCTGTGCTAGCAATTAGTGAGACTCCTTGGGCGTCTCCAGGTGCGGGATATAATCTCCTGTTGCACCATTTCCTAAGCCCATCAGAAAAGTGCAGTGTTCGGGTGGGAGTGGCCCGATTTTCCGGGTGCCGTCTGTCACCCCTTTCCTTGATCAGAAAAGGGAACTCCCTGACTCCTTGCATTTCCCGAGTGAGGCAATGCCTCGCCCTGCTTCAGCTGGCACACGGTGCGCTGCACCCACTGTCCTGCGCCCACTGTCTGGCACTCCCTAGTGAGATGAACCCGGTACCTCAGATGGAAATGTAGAAATCACCCATCTTCTGCTTCGCTCACGCTGGGAGCTGTAGACCGGAGCTGTTCCTATTCGGCCATCTTGGCTCCTCCTTCTTTGTTATAGAAAAATCACCCTTCACCACTATCATCATTGGCTACTCATCAGATAATTTATAGATGTCAGACTTTCTGATTATTCCTACAAAGGCTATTTTGTGTTGCTTTTGAAAATATTCTTTCTTGTTAAAATGAGAAATGAAACCTAGATGTTCACATTTCGGTTGACATTTTTACCATTTCCTTCCTGACAGAAGACTAGGTCCTATCTTATTGTACTTACACTTTGATAGCCCTGTGATGGCCCGAGAAGGTGGTCTCTTTTCTACTGTGAAATTCTTGACTCTTAGGACATGTAAAGGAGGACCCAAGCCCTACCCATACCAAGCCTTTCCCTTAGAGCTCTTGCAGCCACCTATGAAATTAAAAAGGAAGTAAGCCAGTGTCAAGGTGAAAGAAATTGGAAAAAAGGAAATGAGGACCCCAGCCAATGTACAATGTACAGCCCAGCTCTTGCCCTCATTTTGAATAACTGTTCCTCCTCATACTGCCCCCAGGGCATCCACAGCCCCCAGCTGTCCTATCCTGACCCACTACAGGTCTTACACCTTGTCTAGGGTTTCCATTCACATAATCTTCCAACAAATCTTGCTTATTCTAGCTCTGCTTTCCTCAGGGTCCCTGTGTTTCCTAAATACACGTTAGTAGCTTATAGGTTAATGAGATAAGTGAATTCCATTAATGCATTATGGACTACATAATGCAATGCCTTAAATTAAATATGTATCTAAGGAGAGTCTCTAATGTCATATACATGTGATAGGCTAAGAAAGAGGTATTTTGAGCAGAAGGACTTTTTTCAGGGGTAAGGTTAAATAACAACAGATGGATGTAAACTGCCCTCTAAGGATGGTGAATATGCTAACACTGTAATATTTGTTCCCACATTAAATGGCTAATGTGGGTTAACATTGGTGGTAGGTGGGAAGGTTCTCCTCACAAAATCAGGGGCCCAGAGCTAATGAGGTTTCTGCCATAATATAGCTGTACCATCTGAAACATGTGATCTCCAAGGTCATCATGGAAAGAGGAGGGGGAAGATTGAGTGGGCATATTGTTTCTTAACTGCCTCAGCCCAGCAATAAATGCTTCAACCCCATTCTGAATAAATTGGCCAGAACTGGTCACACAACCCAATCTAATAGCAAGGCAGTTGAGAAATATAGAAAAACGCTTTGAATATTTAGTGAGCACTAATATCTGACATTGTGGGTCTGGTTAGCTGCAGGTCTTTTATTCTGCTGAAGAGCATTTGCTGGCTAAGGACTAGGACTAAGTTATTAGTGATGGTAGAGGTTGAGAGTTGTTTGTAGTTGTCCTTCTCCATCTTCCCCCATGCAGTGCTCAACATCACTATTAAACACATTTATACATAGAGAGTGTTATTTTGAGTCTGCCAACTTAATTCTGGCCATTCACCTACGTGTTTCGATACGAACTTGGTCCATTTCTGGCAGTAAGGAAACATGCAAAGTGTTCAAGTATTTTTAACTGATAGGAATATATGATCAAAATTTTTGGAGGCTCCTGATTTGGACTATCTTCCTAGTAGAGCACTTTCTAAAGTGTGTTTCCCACTATACCACTACTCCTCTCCCCTTTATGAAAATGCTCTGAGGATACAAAGAGACATCTCTATGCAAGGGCACTGGAAGTTTCAGGTGGTGTGTATGTGTGTCTCTGAGTGTTAAAATTTTATTTTATTTAAACTTTAGTTTCAAGGGTACATATGCAGGTTTGTTATATAGGTAAAGTCATGTCAAGAGGGTTTGTTGTGCAGATTATTTTGTCACCCAGGTACTAAGCCTACTACCCAATAGTTATTAGTTCCAGGTGTGAAGTTGGGACTTTGACATTCATATTAGAGCCCTTTGACTTGGCAAAGAGTTTTGCTGCAAAATTTAAGCCCACATATTCATTCTCCTAGTTTCTTTCTAAATCTGCTAGGGGACTGTGGATAGTTGAATTGGAACAACTGCTAGGACTCATTCCTCTACTTTTGTTACATTCCTTAGGGGATGACTCCTGCTTTGTACCCTTCTATCTCTAAGCTGAAAGTTTTACAGGTACAGGACACCATAGACTGCCAGTGCTGTATGTGTACTTAGAGGTACTAGTTCCAACAATATTCCAAAAATGGGAATAGGGCCAGGAGAGAAACAGAAAATTTGTATCCAAATTATTTACCCTATCATTGATCATATTCTTTTTTTTTCAAGTTTCTATCTGAGCCAGTATGCCATGTTATGCTTAGAAGTCAAGAAGTGGGCATTGAAGACTGTTTGGGTTAATGGAGAAAACCCTCATAGATTGAAGGATCACAGACTCAGGGGTGGGGAAGACCATAAAGGAATGCTTTGAATTACTATCTTACTACATTAAATTAATATTGATCTCTGGGCCATGTTTTTACGTCCTGCATCTGTGTTTCTGTGAGGATTATCTCAAACCCAAGAGAACAAACCATTGTTATTTTTTTTTTTTACTGTTCTGGATTTATTTATTTATTTAATTATTGTACTTTAAGTTATGGGATACATGAGCAGAATGTGCAGCTTTGATGCATAGGCATACACATGCCATGATGGTTTGCAGAACCCATCGACCCATCATCTACATTAGATATTTCTCCTAATACTATCGTTCCCCTAGCGACCCACCCCCCAATGGCCCTGGTGTGTGATGTTCCCCTCCCTGTGTCCATGTATTCTCGTTGTTCAACTCCCACTTATGAGTGAGAACATGCGATGTATGTTTTTCTGTTCCTGTGATATTTTGCTGATAATGATGGTTTCCAGCTTCATCCATGTCCCTGCAAATGACATGAACTTATCCTTTCTTATGGCTGCATAGTATTCCATGGTGTACATGTGCCACATTTTCTTTATCCAGTCTATCACTAATGCCATTTGGGTTGTTTCCAAGTCTTTTCTATTGTGAATAGTGCTGCAATAAATGTATGTGTGCATGTGTCTTTATAGTAGAATGATTTATAATCCTTCGGGTGTATACCCAGTAATGGGATTGCTGGGTAAAATGGTAATTCTGGTTCTAGATTATTGAGGAATTGCCACAGTGTCTTCCACAATGGTTGAGCTAATTTACACTCCCACCAACAGTGTAAAAGCATTCCTATTTCTCCACATCCTCTCCAGAATCTTTTGTTTCCTGACTTTCTAATGATCACCATTCTAATCAGCGTAAGATGATATCTCATTATGATTTTGATTTGCATTTCTCTAATGACCAGTGAGGATGAGCTTTCTTTCATGTGTTTCTTGGCCGCATAAATGTCTTCTGAGAAGTGTCTGTTCATATCCTTCACCCAGTTTTTGATGGGTTTATTTTTTTCTTGTAAATTTGTTTTGATTTAGATTTGCATTTTTCCAATGACCAGTGATGAGGAGCTTTCTTTGATATGTTTTTTGGCCCCATAAATGTCTTCTTTTGAGAAGTGTCTGCTCATATCCTTTGCCCAATTTTTCATGGAGTTGTTTGGTTTTTTTACTTGTAAATTTGTTTAAGTTCTTTGTAGATTCTTGATATTAGCCTTTTGTCAGATGTATAGATTGCAAAAATTTTCTCCCATTCTCTAGGTTGCCTGTTCATTCTGAAGACAGTTTCTTTTGCTGTGCAGTAGCTCTTTAGTTAATTAGATCCCATTTGTCTATTTTGGATTTTGTTGCCATTGCTCTTGGTGTTTTAGTCATGAAGTCTTTGCCCATGCCTATGTCCTGGATGGTATCGCCTAGGTTTTCTTGTAGGATTTTTATGGTTTTAGGTCGTACATTTAAGTCTTTAATCTATCTTGAGTTAATTTTTGTACAGGGTGTAGGGAAGGGGTTCAGTTTCAGTTTTCTGCATATGGCTAGGCAGTTTTCCCAAAACTGTTTATTGAATAGGGAATCCTTTCCCCATTACTTGTTTTTGTCAAGTTTGTCAAAGATCAGATGGTTGTAGATGTGTGGAGTTATTTCTGAGGCCACTGTTCTGTTCCATTGGTCTATATATCTGTTTTGGTACCTGTACCATGCTATTTTGGTTACTGTAGCCTTGTAGTATAGTTGGAAGTCAGGTAGCATGATACCTCCAGCTTTGTTCTTTTGCTTAGGATTGTCTTGGCTATACAGGTTCTTTTTTAATTCCATATGAAATTTAAAGTAGCTTTTTTTTTCTAGTTCTGTGAAGAAAATCAATGGTAGCTTGATGGGAATACCATTGAATCTGTAAATTACTTTGGGCAGTATGGCCATTTTTATGATATTGATTCTTCCTATCCATGACCATGGAATGTTTTTCCATTTCTTTGTGTCCTCCCTTATCTCCTTGAGCAGTGGTTTGTAGTTCTTCTTGAAGAGCTGCTTCACATCCCTCGCAGGTTGTTTTCCTAGGTATTTTGTTCTCTTTGTAGCAATTGTGAATGTGAGTTCACTGATAATTTGGGTCTCTGTTTGTCTATTGGAGTATAGGAATGCTTGTGATTTTTCCACATTGATTTTGTATCCTGAGACTTTGCTGAAGTTGCTTATCAGCTTAAGCAGATTTTGGGCTGAGACCAAGGGGGTTTTCTAAATATACAATCATGTCATCTGCAAACAGAGACAATTTGATTTCCTTTCTTCCTATTTGAGTACCCTTTATTTATTTCTCTTGCCTGATTGCCCTGGCCAGAACTTCCAAAACTATTTTGAGTAGGAGTGGTGAGAGAGGGCATCTTTGTATTGTGCTGGTTTTCAAAGGGAATGCTTCCAGCTTTTGCCCATCCAGTATGATATTGGCTGTGGCTTTGTCATAAATAGCTCTTATTATTTTGAGTTACGTTCGAGGAATACCTAGTTTATTGAGAGTTTTTAAAATGAAGGAGTGTTAAGTTTTATGGAAAACCTTTTCTGCATCTATTGAAATAGTCATGTGCTTTTTGTCATTGGTTCTGTTTATGTGATGGATTACGTTTATTGATTTGCATATGTTGAACCAGCCTTGCATCCCAGGGATCAAGACATCTTGATTGTGTTTGATAAGCTTTTAGATGTGCTGCTAGATTCAGTTTGCCAGTATTTTATTGAGGATTTTTGCATCAATGTTCATCAGGGATATTGGCCTGAAATTTTCTTTTTTTGTTGTGTCTCTGCCAGGTTTTGGTATCAGGATGATGCTGGCCTCATAAAATCAGATATGGAGGACTCCCTCTTTTTCTTTGGTTTAGAATAGTTTCAGAAGGAATGTTACCAGCTCCTCTTTGTATCTCTGGTAGAATTTGGCTGTGAATTCATCTGGTCCTGGGTTTTTTTGATTGGTAGGCTATTAATTACTGCCTCAATCTCAGAACTTGTTATTGGTCTATTCAGGGATTTGACTTTTTCCTGGTTTAGTCTTGGGAGGGTGCATGTGTCCAGGAATTAATCCATTTTTTTCCAGATTGTCTGGTTTACTTGGGTAGAGGTGTTTATGGTATTCTCTGATGGTAGTTTGTATTTCTGTGGGATCAGTGGTGATATCCCCTTTATCATTTTTTATTGTGTCTATTTGATTCTTCTTTCTTTTCTTCTTTATTGGTCTGGCTAGTGGTATACCTATTTTGTTAACCTTTTCAAAAAAAACAGCTCCTGGATTCCTTAATTTTTTGAAGGGATTTTTGTGTCTCTATCTCCTTTAGTTCTGCTCTGATCTTTGTTATTTCTTGTCTTCTGCTAGCTTTTCAATTTGTTTGCTCTTGCTTCTCTAGTTCTTTTAATTATGATGTTAGGGTGTCAATTTTAGATCTTTCCCACTTTCTCCTGTGATAATTTAGTGCTATAAATTTCCCTCTAAACATTGCTTTAGCTGTGTTCCAGAGATATTGGTACATTGTGTCTTTGTTCTCATTAGTTTCAAAGAACTTATTTTTTTCTGCGTTAATCTTGTTACTTACCCAGTAGTCATTCAGGAGCAGGTTGTTCCGTTTCCATGTAGTTGTGCGGTTTTGAGTGAGTTTTTTAGTCCTGAGTTCTAATTTTATTGCATTGTGATCTGAGAGACTGTTTGTTATGATTTCCATTCTTTTGCATTTGCTGAGGAGTGTTTTACTTCCAATTATGTGGTCAATTTTAGAATAAGTGCAATGTGGTGCTGAGAAGAATGTATTTTCTGTTGATTTGGGGTGGAGAGTTCTGTAGATGTCTATTAGGTCTGCTTGGTCCAGAGCTGAGTTCAAGTCCTGGATATCCTTGTTAAATTTCTGTCTCATTGATCTGTCTAATATTGACAGTGTGGTGTTAAAGCCTCCCACTACTATTGTGTCTGAGTCTAAGTATCTTTGTAGGTCGCTAAGAACTCGCTTTATGAATCTGGGTGCTCTTGTATTGGGTGTACATATATGTGTATATATATATATATATATATATATATATATATATATATATATATATAATAGTTAACTCATCTTGTTGCATTGATCCCATTACCATTATGTAATGCCCTTCTTTGTCTTTTTTGATTTTTTGTTGGTTTAAAGTCTGTTTTATGAGAGACTAGGATTGCACCCCCTGCTTTTTTTTTTTTTTTTTTTTTTTTTTTGCTTTCCCTGCTTGGTAAATCTTCCTTCATCCCTTTGTTTTGAACCTATGTGTTTGTTTGCATGTGAGATGGGTGTACTGAATACATCATACCGATGGGTCTAGACTCTTTATCCAATTTGCCAGTCTGTGTCTTTTAATTAGGGCATTTAGCCCATTTACATTTAAGGTTAATATTGTTATATGTGAATTTGATCCTGTCATTATGATGCTAGCTGGTTATTTTGCCCATTAGTTGCAGTTTCTTCATAGTGTCGATGGTCTTTACAATTTGGTATGTTTTTGCAGTGGCTGGTACTGGTTTTTCCTTTCCATATTTAGTGCTTCCTTCAGGAGCTCTTGTAAGGCAGGCCTGGTGTTGACAAAATCTCTCAGCATTTGCTTGTCTGTTCAGGATTTTATTTCTCCTTCGCTTATGAAGCTTAATTTGGCTGGATATGAAATTCTGGATTGAAAATTCTTTTCTTTAAGCATGTTAAATATTGGCCCCCAGTATCTCCTGGCTTTTAGGGTTTCTGCAGAGAGATCTGCTCTTGATCTGATGGGCTTCCCTTTGTAGGTAACCTGGCCTTTCTCTCTGGCTTCCCTTAACATTTTTTCCTTCATTTCAACCTTGGTGAATCTGATGATTATGTGTCTTGGAGTTGCTCTTCTCGAGGAGTATCTTTTTGGTGTTCTCTGTATTTCCTGAATTTGAATGTTGGCCTGTCTTGCTAGGTTGTGGAAGTTCTCCTGGATAATATTTTGAAATGTTTCCAACTTGGTTCCCTTCCACCCCTCACTTTCAGGTATACCAATGAAACTTAGGTTTGGTCTTCTCACACCGTCCCATATTTCTTGGAGGATTTGTTCACTCCTTTTCATTATTTTTTTTTGTCTAATCTTTTCTTCACACTTTATTTCATTAAGTTGATCTTTAATGTCTGATATCCTTTCTTCCGCTTGATCAATTTGGCTATTGATAATTGTGTATGTTTCAGGAAGATCTCGTGCTGTGTTTTTCAGCTCCATCAGGTCATTTATATTCTTCTCTATACTGGTTATTCTAGTTAGTGATTCTTCTAAACTTTTTTCAAGGTTTTTAGCTTATGCTGCACCCACTGTCTAACCAGTCCCAATGAGATAAGCCAGGTATCTCAGTTGGAAGTACAGAAATCACCCATCATCTGCATTGATCTCGCTGGGAGCTGTAGACCGGAGCTGTTCCAACTTGGCTATTTTGCTAGCCACCTGTTCATATTTATGTTTAAAAATCTTCTCTATAGCCTGAAATGACTACTTCTTCAATATTCATTCAATAAATGTTTATTGAATGTATGCCTATTCTCAGCCTAACAGTACTCTAGATAGTGAGGCTGCAGAGGTAAACAAGAAACCCTAAAACAAGAATCTCATCTTCATGGAATTAACATTATGGCATTTCTAACAGGAAAGACAGTAAGATGATAGATTTTAGTTTTTGTTTTGTTTTTGCACTTAACTAATCACTAACCAGTATTACCTAGGTTATTTCTGAATGGCCCAATTCTCTCTTTATATTTACATTGAAAAATATTAAGTTCACCCTTTGTTTTTTTTTTGCACATTGTAAGAATTCTAATATTTTCATCAAATTTGGAAACAAAATCAAGAAGAGCTACAAACACTTCAATTACACTAGCTCAGGAAGATAAAATACTTACAACTCATAGGATTATCACAACAATACCAAGTCACCAGGGTACAATGAGTCAAGCAACTATTTAAGCAGAAATATATCTTCATCATATACCCCCATAGGTTTTAAATTGAATAGTTAATTCTAATAGCTGATCATTTTCCTGGCAAATGGTTAAATTAGAAGAAAGTATAATTATATCACAATTACAAACATATCTCTGTGTTTCTTTAAATAGCACCTTTTTCATATATTATTAAATATTTAACAATAGAAGAGACTAAAAGCTTAATTTTCCTATGCCCTTTCTGGGTGTATATGAATGAGAAATTGATCACAAAAATCTGAAATTATAATAATAAAAAACATTTACATATACTTTGTTTTGTTTTATTATACAGAAAACTAAAAGAAAAAATTATTTGATTTAGCACAAATCACCTGGCAACCCTATTCCCATGTGCCGGTGTTCACGATAAACATTTTTATCAACCTACACTGTGCTTGCATTACTATAGTCACCAGACAAGAGGGCTTTTTTCTCTGATATTACCTCAGCAGCTGTGGCAGAGGTGGCAGGGGAATGAAGGGCAGTGTAACAACAGTAAGGGGAAAAAAAGACATATGCTTGTAAGCGTGACTCTATCTCTTCTCCCTGGAACATAATGACTTTGGAGTTTACACTAAACATAGCTGTCTTTTGTCTCTCCTCAAAGTCAATTTAAAATACATCTCCCTGTCTACAAACATCTCATTCACTAATGCCTAAAATTCACTTTAGGGAGCTATTTCATTCAGTTACCTCTTGTCCTGGACCAGATGTCTCTGTGAATGTCAGTCACCCAAAAGAGAAACACATTTTTCTCCATCCCTTAGATTAATGGAGTTTATGAGGTCATTTTTATCTTATAATGGGAAGGGCATAAAGGAGCTAGAAGGTGTCAGTCCTGGTCTTAAGCCTGGCTTCTTTCAGGTTTTCCCACAGGCCAGGAGACCCTTAGAATGCCACAGCTTTTAGGTTATTCTTCCCCAGTGTTCGTCTTCCTATCTCACCCAACAGTATCTGTTGTATTTTATGTCCTTTGTAAACCATGTAATCCTAAATGTGGTTATTTGGCTCTCCTTTTTATGCTTCATAATCAATTGTTCCATAATCATTTGAGCTAGAAAATTATGCAAACCCTGTGTATGTCCACCTGGGGCTTGAAGCCACCTGTCAGAGCATACACATGACCTGTGAACTATGTTATATTGCCATCTAGAAATATAAGCAAACAGGCATAAGAGCTGGAACTCCAGTAGAGTCCCAGATACTGTGGGTAGTTAAAAGTTTCATTTTACACCAAGCACATATACCACACCTGTAATGTTCAGTTTTCTGTCCAGCAGAAAATAAGAACAGAGTAGATTTTGATTACAAAATTTAAACACTGGGAACCACGGTATTTTCTGCCTTAGAGGCATAAAGCCCACCCAGTATTTTTGTGACCATCTTAAGGGATTGTCTTGTGAAAGTCCTTTTCTTTCTCTGGACCTCAATTCTGCCACCTGTAACATGAGGTTAGTGGAATAAACAATTTTGGAGTCCCTGTAACTCTGACCTTCTCTAGTTTTATATAGATTATCCAAATAAAAATTGTGGCTCTGTGATTTCATTGATCTTAGCAGAAATAAATAAAAATGACCCATTCACAAGCAATGCCTTTATTTGACTTGATTCAGAGCTCACACGGTAGACACAGGCTTTTCTGGGGTCTTTTGTTGAATGAAATCAGTGGCAAATTTTTAATATTTCAGCTACCTGAGACAGAGACAACAGTTGGGGGAATCAGCAAGCTGACCAAAAAATGTAAAAGAAAAGCCTGTGGGATAAAGACATCCAAAGAGGGCTTTGAATAACTTGGACATATTTCTCAGAAACTAGAAGTTTATGTATAAGTAAGGCTATGCACATGACCAGAGTTGCATATATGCCTAAGGTCTAACCTCTGAAAGATCTCCACGCTATGCACAGCAGAAAGTGAAGGCTAAGGCAGAGGTGTAAACTGCCTTCCTGAGTGTTGAAGGCATGCCACAACATATTTAAGAAGTTCAATAAGCTCCAAATTGTATAAATTCAAAGAGACCCACACTGGAAGAAATTATAATAAACTTACAAAAGCCAAAGTCAAGGAGAGAATCTTGAAAGCCATAAGAGATAAATGATTCATCATATACAAGTATTCTTCAATAAGACTGCTAGGTAATTTATCATCAGAAACCAGGAAAGCCAAAGGCCAAAAGGATGGAAAATTATATGCAAAATGATACTATGCATACTATACTAACAAAAACAAAGCTGGGCTGGCTATATTAGTATCAGACAAAATAGACTTTAAGACAAAAATTCTTACTAGAGAAAATGAAGGTCATTTTAAAATGACAAAAGAGGCAATCTATTAAGAAGATACAACAATTATAGACATACGTACTTGACAACAGAACACAAATATACATAAAACAACTGACAGAATTGAAGGAAGAAATGGATAATTCAATAATAATAGCTGGAGAGTCCAGTATCTCATGTTTTATAATGACCAGAACTAGACAAAAGATAAGCTAGGAACTAGAATACTTGAACAATACTGTAAACCACTATCAACATGTACAGAATTCTGTATCCAACAACAGGCCAATATATCTTTGTCTCAAGGGTCTTGAAACTTTCTCTGGAATTAACTACATGTTTGTTTTGGCCATAAAATGTTTTAATAAAATTAAAATTTTTAAAATCACACAAAGCATGTTCCACATCCACAATGAAATTAAAATAGAAATTAGTAACAGGTAAAATTAGAAAAATCACAGATATGTGGAAATTAAACAATCTATCACTAAATAATCAATGAACAAATGAAGAAATCACAAGGAAAATTTGAAAATACTTTGAAACAAAAACAAACTCAAAATGTAAACTTACAGGATGCAGATAAAGTAGTGCTATAAAAATTTTAGCAGTACTGGGCATGCTGACTTATGCCTGTAATCCCAGTACTTTGGAAGGCCGAAGCAGGAGGATCACTTGAGCTCAGGAGTTCAAGACCAGTCTTGGCAACATGAAGAAACCCCATATCTACAAAAAAATACAAAAAAAAAAAAAATAGCCAGGCGTGGTACTGTGTGCCTATAGTTCCAGCTACTTGAGAGGCTGGATTGTGAAGATTGTTGAGCCTGGGAGGTTGAGTGTGCAGTGAGCTGAGATTGCACCATTGCACTCCAGCCTGGGTGACAGAGCGAGATGCTGTCTGAAAGAAAGAAAGAAGGAAAGACAGGAAGGAAGGCAGGAGAGAAGGAAGAAAGGAGGGAAGGAAGGGAGGGAGGGAGGGAGGGAGGGAAGGAAGGAAGGAAGGAAGAAAGGAAATCATAGCTGTAATAACTTGTATTTTTAAAAGAAAAAATCAAATAATAACAGTAATAAGGATTAGAGCAAGATAATTAAAATAGAGAATATAAAAACAGAAAATTAAATATAGAGTTACCATATGACCCAAGAATTTTACTCCTAGGTATTTGCCAAAGAGAACTGAAAATACATACCTACATAAAAACTTGTACATAAATCTTCATTTTAACATTATTCATAACAATCAAAAGCTGGAAACACTATCTTGGTTAAATTTATTCCTAGGTACTTTTGTGATGCTACTGTAAATGGGATTTTTTTTAAACTTCTTTTTCAGTTAGGTCATTATTTGTGTATAAAAAATGCTACTGACTTTTGTATGTCAATTTTGTATTCTACAACTTTACTATTTTATTATTTCTGAATTTTTTTTTGTTTTTTTTACATATAGGATCATGCCATTTGCACATAGAGATATTATTATTATTATTATTATACTTTAAGTTTTAGGGTACATGTGTACAATGTGCAGGTTAGTTACATATGTATACATGTACCATGCTGGTGCGCTGCACCCATTAACTCATCATCTAGCATTAGGTATATCTCCCAATGCTATCCCTCCCCCCTCCCCCACCCCACAACAGTCCCCAGAGTGTGATGTTCCCCTTCCTGTGTCCATGTGTTCTCATTGTTCAATTCCCACCTATGAGTGAGAATATTTGGTGTTTGGTTTTTTGTTCTTGCGATAGTTTACTGAGAATGATGATTTCTAATTTCATCCATGTCCCTACAAAGGACATGGACTCATCATTTTTTATGGCTGCATAGTATTCCATGGTGTATATGTGCCACATTTTCTTAATCCAGTCTATTATTGTTGGACATTTGGGTTGGTTCCAAGTCTTTGCTATTGTGAATAGTGCCACAATAAACATACGTGTGCATGTGTCTTTATAGCAGCATGATTTATAGTCCTTTGGGTATATACCCAGTAATGGGATGGCTGGGTCAAATGGTATTTCCAGTTCTAGATCCCTGAGGAATCGCCACACTGACTTCCACAATGGTTGAACTAGTTTACAGTCCCACCAACAGTGTAAAAGTGTTCCTATTTCTCCACATCCTCTCCAGCACCTGTTGTTTCCTGACTTTTTAATGATCGCCATTCTAACTGGTGTGAGATGGTATCTCATTGTGGTTTTGATTTGCATTTCTCTGATGGCCAGTGATGGTGAGCATTTTTTCATGTGTTTTTTGGCTGCATAAATGTCTTCTTTTGAGAAGTGTCTGTACATGTCCTTCGCCCACTTTTTGATGGGGTTGTTTGTTTTTTTCTTGTAAATTTGTTTGAGTTCATTGTAGATTCTGGATATTGGCCCTTTGTCAGATGAGCAGGTTGCGAAAATTTTCTCCCATTCTGTAGGTTGCCTGTTCACTCTGATGGTAGTTTCTTTTGCTGTGCAGAAGTTCTTTAGTTTAATTAGATCCCATTTGTCAATTAAGAAATGGATAAATTCCTTGACACATACACTTTCCCAAGACTAAACCAGAAAGAAGTTGAATCTCTGAATAGACCAATAATAGGATCTGAAATTGTGGCAATAATCAATAGCTTACCAACCAAAAAGAGTCCAGGACCAGATGGATTCACAGCCGAATTCTACCAGAGGTACAAGGAGGAACTGGTACCATTCCTTCTGAAACTATTCCAATCAATAGAAAAAGAGGGAATCCTCCCTAACTCATTTTATGAGGCCAGCATCATCCTGATACCAAAGGCGGGCAGAGACACAAACAAAAAAGAGAATTTTAGACCAATATCCTTGATGAACATTGATGCAAAAATCCTCAATAAAATACTGGCAAACCGAATCCAGCAGCACATCAAAAAGCTTATCCACCATGATCAAGTGGGCTTCATCCCTGGGATGCCAGGCTGGTTCAATATACACAAATCAATAAATGTAATCCAGCATATAAACAGAACCAAAGACAAAAACCACATGATTATCTCAATAGATGCAGAAAAGGCCCTTGACAAAATTCAACAACTCTTCATGCTAAAAACTCTCAATAAATTAGGTATTGATGGGACATATTTCAAAATAATAAGAGCTATTTATGACAAACCCACAGCCAATATCATACTGAATGGGCAAAAACTGGAAGCATTCCCTTTGAAAACTGGCATAAGACAGGGATGCCCTCTCTTACCACTCCTATTCAACATAGTGTTGGAAGTTCTGGCCAGGGCAATCAGGCAGGAGAAGGAAATAAAAGGTATTCAATTAGGAAAAGAGGAAGTCAAATTGTCCCTGTTTGCAGACAACATGATTGTATATCTAGAGAAAATTTTACCTTTTTTTCTGACATATGTAATTATTGTTTCTTTTTCTTTTTCTTTTTTAATTTTTGCAGGTCCACAGTAGCTCTGCATATTTACTGGTTACATGAAATATTTTGATCCAGGTATGCAATGCATATTAATCATGTCAGAGTAAATTATATATACAGATAAATGCATCAAATGAAACATTTATTCCTTGTTTCAAAAGCAATCCAGTTATACTCTCTTAGTTATTTTAAAATGTACGATTAAGTTATTTTTTATTATAGTCACACAGTTGTGCTAGCAAATACTACATCTTATTCATTCTTTCTAAATATTTTTTGTACATTAACCTGCACAACTTTACCCCCATACTGCCACTACCCTTCACATCCCCTGTTAACCATCCTTCTACTCTCTATCTCCATGAATTTGTTTTAATTTTTAGCGCAAATAAGTGGCAACATGCAAGGCTTGTCTTTCTGTATCTCACTTATTTCACTTAAAATACTAACTCCTGTTCTATCCATGCTGTTGCAGATGACAGGATTTCATTCTTTATTATAGCTGAATAGTACTCTATTGTGTATGTGTGCCACATTTTCTTTATCCATTCATCTGCTGATGGACACTTAGGTTGCTTCCAAGTCTTGGCTACCGTGAACAGTGCTGCAACAAACTTACGAGTGCAGATATCTCTGTGTTTTAATGACTTCCCTATTTGGGGTATATACTCAGCAATGGGATTTCTGGATTATATGGGAACTCTATTTTTAGTGTTTCTTTAATGAACTTCCAAAGTGTTCTCCACAGTGGTTGTACTAGTTTACATTCTCAACAACAATGTGTGAGGGTTCCCTTTTCTCCACAACCTATCCAGTATCTGTTATTGCCTGTCTTGGATACAAGCAACTTCAACTTGGATGAGATGAAATCTTATTGTAGTTTTAATTTGCATTTCCCTGACTTTCATTGATGTCGAGCACCTTTTCATATGCCTGTTTGCCATTTGTATGTCTTGTTTTTGGAAATGTCTATTTAGGTATCTTGCCCATTTTGTAAATGGATTATTAGATGGTTTCTTATAGAGTTGATTGAGCTCCTTATATATTCCAGTTATTAATCCCTTGTCAGATTGGTAGATTGCAAAGATATTTCCTTTCTGTGGGTTATGCCTTTATTTCGATGGTTGTTTCCTTTGTTGTGCAGAAGCTTTTTAACTTTATGTGATCTCATTTGTCCAATTTTTTTTTTATTGCTTGTGCTTGTGGAATATTGCACAAGAGGATTTTGCCCAGACCAATGTCCTGGAGAGTTTCCCCAATGTTTTCTCATAGTAGTTTCATAGTTAGAAGTCTTAATTGTAATTCTTTAATCCATTTTGATTTGACTTTTGTGTATGGCAAAAGAGGGAAATCTAGTTTGATTCTTCTGCATTTGGATTTCTAGTTTTCCCAGCACCATTTCCTGAAGAGAATATCTTTTCCCAGGTGTATCTTCTTGACCTCTTTGTCAAAAATGAGTTATCTGTAGGTGTGTGAATTTGTTTCTGCATTCTCCTTTCTGTTTCACTGATCCCTATGTTTGTTTTTATGTCAGTACCATGTTATTTTCGTTAGTATATCTTTGTAATATAATTTGAAGTCAGGGAGTGTGATTCCTCCAGTTATGTTCTTTTCGTTCAGGATAGCTTTGGCTATTCTGAGTCTTTTGTGGCTCCATATAAATTTTATAATATTTTCTATTTCCGTGAAGAACGTTGTTGGTGTTTTGATAGGGATTTCATTGAATCTAAAGATTCCTTTGACAGTATGGACATTTTAACAATGTTCATTCTTCCAATCTATGAACATGAAATATCTTTCCATTTTTTGGTGTCCTCTTCAATTTCTTTCATCAATGATTTACAGTTTTCATTGTAGAGATCTTTCACTTCTTTGATTAAGAAATTCCTAGGTATTTAATTTCATTTGTGGCTATTGTAAATTGTATTATTTTTTTATTTCTTTTCCACAATTTTCACTCTTGGCATATAGATATGCTACTAATTTTTGTATGTCAATTTTATATCCTGCCACTTTCCTGAATGTGTTTGTCAATTCCAATAGTTTTTTCATGGAGTCATTAGTTTTTTTAAAATAAGATTTTATCATCTGCAAACAAGGATAATTTGACTTCTTCCTTTCCATTTTGGACCCCCCTTTTATCTTTCTCTTGTCTGATTGCTCTACCTAGGTCTTCCTGTGCTATGTTGAATAACAGTAGTAAAAGTTGGCGTCTTTGTGTTTCTCATCTCAGAGGAAAGGCTGTCAGTTTTTCCTCATTCAATATCATACTAGCTGTTGGTCTGTCTTGTATAGCTTTTATTATGTTGAGGTGTGCTCCTTATATACGCAGTTTGTTGAGGGCTTTTATCATGAAGGGATGTTGAAATTTATGAAATTATTTTTCAGCATCAATTAAAATGATCATACACTTTTTGTCCTTTATTTTGTTGCTATGATGTATCACATTAATTTATTTGTGCATGTTGAATGATCTTTGCATCCCAGGGATAAATCCCAATTGGTCACAATGAATGATCTTTTTAATGTAGTGCCAAATTCACTTTGCTAATAATTTGTTGAGGATTTTTGCATCCATAATTATCAGTGACATTGGCCTATAGGGTTTTTTTGGTTTGTTTGTTTATTCGTTTGATTTGTCTTTGTCTGTTGTTGGCATCATGTAAATACTGGCCTCACAGAGTGAGTTTGGAACTATTTTCTCCTCCTCTATTATTCAGAATGTATTGAGTAAGATTTGTATTCTTTCTTTAAAGGTATGGTAGAATTCAGCAGTGAAGTCATCAGGTCCCAGGCTTACTTTGCTGGGAGACTTTTATTACACCTTTTATCTTGTTACTTGTTATTGGTCTTTTCAGGTTTTGGATTCTTCCTGGTTAAATTTTGGTTTGTTGTATATGTCTAAGAATTCATCCTTTTCTCCCAGATTTCCAATTTATTAGCACACAGTTCCACGTAGCAACCACTTATGATCCTTTGAATTTCTGCAGTATCAATGGTAATATCTCCTTTTCCATCTCTGATTATATTTGTTTGGCTTATTTCTCTTTTTTGCTTAGACTGGTTAAAGATTTGTCAAATTTTTTGTATTCAAAAAACACAGATTTTTATTTCATTAATCTTTTGCTTTATTCTTTTCAAATTCATTCATTTCTGACCTAACGTTTATTATTTCTTTTTCTTTTGCTAATTTTCAGCTTGGTTTCCTCTTGCTTCTCTAGCTCCTAAAGATGAAGCATTATTTTGTTCATTTGGAGGTTTTCTACTTTTTTAATGTACGCACTTATAACTATTAATTTTCTTCTTAGTACTGCTTTTAGCGTACCCCATAGTTTTGGGATGTTGTGTTTCCATTATCATTTGTTCCAAGAAATTTTTAAATTTTCTTCTTAATTTCTTTATTGACCACTTTATCACTCAGGAGAATATTATCTAATTTCTGTATGTTTGTGTAGCTTTCAAAATTCCTCCTGTTATTGAGTGTTAGTTTTATTCCATTGTGGTCAGAGATGATACTTGATATTACTTCAATTTTTGAATGTTTTAAGAATTGTTTGGTAACCTAATATATGGTCTGTCCTTGAGAATGATTCATGTGTTGACATTGATATAATTAACATGTGTATAAAGAATGGAGATCTTGGATGAAATGTTCTGCAAATATCAATTAGACCCATTTGTTCTATGGTGCATATTAAATCTTAGTTTCTTTGTTGATTTTCTGTCTGGAAGGCCTACCCAATGCTGAAGGTGGGGTGTTTTAGTCTCCAGCAATTATTGTCTTGGGGTCCATCTCTCTCTTTATCTCTAACAATATTTGCTTTATGTTTCTGGGTGCTCCAGTTTTGTATGCATATATATTACCATTGTTATATCTTCTTGCTGAAATGATTTTGTTATCATTATTTAGTGACCTTATTTGTCTCTTCTTATAGTTTCTTGTTTTAAAATCTACTTTTTATATAAGTATAACTATACCTTCTCTTTTTTGGTTTCCACTTACATTGGATATCCTTTTCCATCCCTTTATTTTCAATCTATATGTCTCTTTCTAGGTGAAATATGTTTCTTGTAGGCAACAGAGCATGAGGTCTTGCTTTTAAATCATTTAGCCCCTATGTATCTTTTGATCACTGCATTCACAGCCCGTTTACATTCAATGTTATTATTGATAAGGACTTACTCCTGCCATTTAATAATTTGGTTTCTGGTTGTTGGGGGACTTCTCCTCCTATTTTCCTTCCTTCTTGTGTTCTTTCTAGAGAAGATAACTTTCTTTGGTGATATGATTTGATTACTAATTTGTTATTTTTTGTATATCTCTTGTTATTTTTCTGATGTGAGGTTACGACGAGGCTTGCAAATACTATTAAGGTGATAACAACTTAACACTGTTTGCATACACAAATAACCAAAAAGAAAACTAATAAAAACTCTACACTTTACCTTCATCACATTTTAGCTTTTCATTGTTTCTGTTTATATCTTATTGTACTGTCTATGTTTGAATAGTTGTAGTCATTATTTTGATTGATTTATTGTTTGGCCTTTCTACTTAAGATAAGGGTAGTTTACACACCACAGCAGCAGTATTATAATACTCTGTGTTTTTCTGTTTACTTAGTATTAACAGTGAGTTTTTTTTTCTACCTTGGCATTACTTTTTTGGCTCATTAATGTCCTTTTCTTTCTGATTGAATTACTCTCTTTAACTTTTTTCATAAGATAGATCTGTGGTTAATAAAATCCCTCAGCTTTCGTCTGTCCTTAAAAGTCGTTATTTCTGTTTTTGAATAATATTTTCTTTCAAACTATTATATATTATACTTGTAACGGCCCTTGGCTATACTATTCTAGGTTAAAAGTGTGTTTTTTTTTTTCTTCAATAATTTAAATATGTAATGACACTCCCTCCTGGCCTATAAGGTTCCCACTAAAAAGTCTGTTGCCAGGTGAATTTGAGCTTCATTATATGTTTTTTGTTGCTTTTGTCTTCCGTGTTTTAGGATCCTTTTATTATCCTTGATCTTTAGGAGTTTGTTAAGTGCCTTGAGGTAGTCTTTTTTCAGTTAAATTTGTTTTATTTTCTATAACCTCCTTGTACTTGAATATTAATAACTTCCTCTAGATGTGGAAAGTTCTCTGTTATTATCTTTTTGAATAAACGTTCTGTTCCTATCTCTTTCTCTGCCTCCTCTTCAAGGTCAATAACTCTTGGATTTGCCCGTTCGAGACTATTTTCTAGATTTTTGTAGGTGTGCTTTATTTTTTTACTTTTTTCTTTTATCTTTTCTGACCATGTCTTTTTACATAGCCTGACTTCAAGGTCACTAATTCTTTCTTCTCTTTGATCAATCTGTTATTAAAAGATGGTCATGCATTCTTCAGTATGTCACTTGCACCCTGTAACTCCAGAATTTCTGCTTGATTCTTTTTAATTGTTTTAATCTTTGTTTAATTTATCTAATAGAATTCTGAGTTCCATCTCTGTGTTATCTTGAATATCTTTAAGTTTTCCCCAAACAGCACAGCTACTTCAAATTCTCTGTCTGAAAGGTCACAAATCTCTGTATCTCTGAAATTGGTCCCTGGTGTCTCGTTTACTTCATTCTGTGAACTCATGTTTTCCCGAGGGTGTTTATGCTTATGGATGTTTGTCTGTTTGGGCATTGAAGAATTAGTTATTTATTGTAGTCTTGGCAGTCTGAACTTGTTTATATCCATCTTTTTTGAAAACATTTTCCAGATATTTAAAGATATTTTTGAGTTGTTATCTAAGTTATATCTGCTTTAGGGTGCACTCCAAGCCCAGTAATGCTGTGGCCCTCTCAGGCTTGTACAGGTACCACCTTGTGGTCTTGAATAAGACACCGAAAAATTTTCTGGTTCACCAGGAAGAGATACTTTTTTTCTCACTTTATTTTCTTCTGAATAAACAGTGTCTCTTTCTGTCTTTGTTCTGATCTTCCTGGAGCTGAGGGTGGAGTGACACAGGCACCCCTGTGGCCACAATCACTATGGCTGCACGAGGTCAGACCTGAAGCCAGCACAGCACTGAGTCTCACCCAAGGCTTGCTGTAACTGCTGCATGGCCAATGTCTATATTTGCTCAAGGCCCTGGAACTCTACAATCAGAACATGGTGAAGCCAGTCAGGCTTGTGTTCTTTGCTTCAAGGCAGTGAGTTCCCTTAGGCCTGGGAAGGTACAGAGGTGTTTTCTGGAAGCCAGAGATTTGAGTAAAAAAGGTTAATAGTCTACCTGGTGTTCTATTGGGTTTTGGGTGAGGTGGCACTCAAATCACAGGACACAGTGTTTCCCTATCTTCCCTCTTCTTTACACAGGCAGAAGAGCCCCATCCCATGGCCACCATCACAACAGGCCCATTGGAGGTACTAGCGCGGTACCACTGATATTCCCACAAGGCTCAAGTGCTCCTCATTCAGTTTTGGTGAGTGCTGCCTGGACTGGGACCCACCTTTCAGGACAATGGGCTCTTTTCTGGCCCAAGGCAGGTCCATAAATGCTGTCCAAGATCAAAGGTCTAGTCTCCCAGACCCCATAAGTCCACTTGGGTCTCTAGCCCTCTTTGGCTGAGCTGGTTCCTAAGGTGGAAGGCAAAGTCTTCTTCACTTTTCTCTCCATTTTTCTCAAACAAGAATGCCTCCCTGTGACCACCATAGCTGGGGAATGTGCTGAGGCTCACCTAAAGTGAACAAGTCTCTAAGTCTAACCCAAGGCCCATGGTATGCTACTTGGATATCACTACTGGCTATTCATGGTCCAAGAACACTTTAGTCAGCAGGTTACGGGTCCCATCAGGGCAAGGTCATTTGCTTCAAGGCAGTGGGTTTTCTTCTGGCCCAGGATGTATCCAGAAAGGTTATTTGGAAGCTAGGTCTTGGAAATGGGTCCTCATGACTCTGGCTGTTGCCCTATTCTACTGTGGCTGAACTGGTATCCAAGATGAAGGACAAAGACTTCTTTACTCTTCTGTCTTCTCTCAAGTAGAAGAAAGGGGTCTCTTTTAGACCTGCAAAATGTGCAGCCTGGGTTGGGAGAGGTGTGACACAAGCACTTTCTCAGCTGCCCGGCCTGGTATCTCAGTAGGTCAGGTGTCCCCCAGTTCCCCTGGCTCTGAGCTCATTTCAGCCCTAGGACCTATCTAGGAGTTGAAGACCTCGTGGCCTAGACTATATTTCAAGGTTGTTTAGAGCCCCAGAGCTCTTCAGTTCATGGTAGCAAGGCTTGCACTATCTTTTTTTTATAACGAGGTTTTTGAGGGTTTTTTATCCTGAAGGAATGTTGAACTTTGTCATATTCTTTTGGAGCATCCATTCAAATGATCACATGAGTTTTTTCTTCATTCTGTTGAACCATACTTACATCTCTGGGATAAATCCCACTGGTTATGATGAATTATCTATTTAATGGATTGTTGAATTAGGTTTGCTAGTATTTTGTTGAGAATTCTTGCATGAATATTCATCAGTGATATTGGTCTATAGTATTATTTCTCAAAATGACTTCATCTGATTGTAATATCAGGGTAACGACCTCATAGAATGAGTTCAAGTGTATTCACTCTGCCTCTGTTTTTTGTAATTGTTTGATTAGGGTTGGCGTCAGTTTTTGTTTGTTTGTTTTTCTTACTTGTTTAGTAAAATTCAACAGTGAAACAACTGTATCCCAAGCCTTTTTTACAGGGAGACTTTTTATTATCATTTCAATCTTGTTACTTGTTATTGGTCTGTTCAGGTTTTGGATTTCAATCTTGGTATGGTATGTCTAAGAATTATTCAATTTCCTCTAGATTTTCCAATTTATTGGCATACAATTGCTCAGAGTAGCCACTAATGATCCTTTGAAATTCTACAGTTTCAGTTGTAATGTCTCCTTTTTCATCTCTAATTTTATTATTTGGTTCTTCTCACTTTCTTATTTAGTCTGGCTAAAAATTGGTCGATCTCATTTACTTTTTTAAAAAAATACAAAGTTTCATGTCTTTGAGCTTTTGCATTGTTTTCTTCATTTTAATTTCATTTATCCCTATCTGATACTTATTTTTTTTCCTGCTAATGTTGGATTTGATTTTCCCTTGATTTCTAGTTCTTTAAGATGCATTGATCGGTATCTTGTTTACATTTTCCTTTTTATTTTTTGATGCAGGCACTTAAAGTTATAAATTTACCTATTAGTACTGCCATTGCCATACCCCATAGATTTTGGTATGTTGTGCTTCCATTACTTGTTTCAACAAATTTTTCAATTTTCTTCTTAATTTCTTCATTGACCCACTGGTATTCAGGAACATTTTTTTTTAATTTCCATGCATTTGTGTAGTTTCCAAAATTCCTTTTGTTATTGACTGTAAGTTTCATTCTATTGTGGTCAGAGAAGATCCTTTGTATTATTTCAATAATTTTGAATGTTTTAAGAATTGTTTCATGACCTAATATATGGCCTATTCTTGATAATTATCCATTTGTTGATGAAATGAATGTTTATTCTGGAGCCCTTGTGTGAAATATTCTGTAAATATCAGTAAGGTCCCTTTGTTCTTTAGTGCAAATTAAGTCTGATATTTATTTGTTGATTTTCTGTCTGGAAGGTCTGTCCAATGATGAAAGTGAGGTGTTGAAATCTCCAGTAATTATTTTATTGGGGTCTATCTCTCTCATTAGCTCTAATAATACTTGCTAAATATATCTAAGTGGTCCAGTGTTTGATGGATATATATTTAAAACTGTTATATCTTCTTGCTGAAATGACTTTTTAAATTTATTTAGTGACCTTCTTTGTGTCTTTTTTCAGTTTGTGTCTTAAAACCTATTTTGTCTGATATAAGTATAGCTACTGCTGTTCTTTCCCATTTCTTCATTTTCAGTCTATCTGTATCTCTATAGATGAAGTGTTTTTCTTGTAACCAACACATCATTAGGTCTTGCTTTTGTATTCGTTCAACCACTCTATGTCTTTTGACTGGAGACTTTCATGCGTGTATATTAAATGCTATTATTGATAAGTAAGGACTTACTCCTGACATTTTGTTATTTGTTTTCTGGTTGTTTTGAGGTCTTTCCTTTTTTTTATTTTCTTCCCATCTTTCTTAAATTAAACATGATTTTATCAGATGTTATGATTTAATTTTTTTGCTTTTTTTGTGTGTGTATATCTGTTGTAGGCTTTTTGATTTGTGGTTGCCATGAGACTTGTAAATACTATCTTCTAACCCATTATATTTAGCTGATAAATACTTTTTGCAAAAACAAACAAAGGTAAAAGCAAAAAGCAAACTAATAAAACTCTACACTTTAACTTTGCCTTTCTGCTTTTTAACTTTTGTTGTTTCTATTTATATGATATTGTTATGTAATTACTATTTTGGGTTAGTTCATTGATTAGTTTTTTATGAAAAACTATATCATGTAATTATTTTGATTGGTTCATTGTTTAGTTTTTCTACTTAAGAGTAGTTTACACATCATAATTACCATGTTATAATGTTCTGTGTTTTCTATTTGCTATTACCAGTGAGTTTTGTACCTTCAGATGATTTTTTATTGCTTAGTTACATCCTTCTCTTTCTGAGTGAACAATTCCCTTTAACATTTCTTGTAGAATAGGTCTGGTGTTGATGAAAAGCATAAGCTTTTGTTTTGCTAAGAAAGTCTTTATTTCTTCATCATTCTTGAAGATTATTTTCACCAGATATACTATTTTAGGGTAATTTTTTTTCCTTCCACACTTTAAATATGTCATGTCACTCTCTCTTGGAATGTAAGATCTCCACTGAAAAGTCTGCTACCAGGTATATTGGTGCTCCATTGTATAATATTTTTTCTTGTCTCTTGCTCTCTTTAGAATCTTTTCCTTATCACTGATATTTGGAAGTTTGATTTTTAAGTGTCTTGAGGTAGTCTTCTTTGGTTTAGATCAGCTTGGTATTTATAACATTCTTATGTGGGAGTATTTTTTTTTGTAGTTTTTGCAGTCTGGACATTTTTGTTCCTGTCCTTCCTGTGAAGGCTTTTCAGGTATTCAAAGATACATGGGTCTCAAGCCCAATAATGCTGTGGCTCTTGCAGACTTAAATTAGTCCAGTCTCATGCTGCTATGAAGAAATAACTGAGACTGGGAAATTTATAAAGGAAAAAGTTTTAACTGATTCACAGTTCCGGATGGCATGAGAAGCCTCAGGAAACTTACAATTATAGCAGAGGGCACCTCTTCACAGGGCAAAAGGGGAGAGAATGAATGCCTAGCGAAGGGGGAAGCCCCTTATAAAACCATCAGATCTCATGAGAACTAACCACTATTATCAGAACAGGATGGAAGAAACCACCCCCATCATTTAATTATTTCCACCTAGTCCCTCCCACGACATGTAGGAATAATGAGAACTACAATTCAAAATAAGAGTTTATTGGGGTCACAGCCAAACCATATCATTCTACCCCTAGTCCCTCCCAAATCTCATGTCCTCACAATTCAAAACACAATCATGTCCTTGTAACAGTCCCCTGCAGTCTTAATTCATTTTGGCATGAACTAAAACGTCGAAGTACAAAGTGTGATCTGAGAGAAGCCAAGTCCCTTCTGCTTATGCCCGGTAAAATCACAAGCAGTTTAGTTACTTCCTAGATACAATGAGGTTACAGGCTTTGGGTAGGTACAGCCATTCAAAATGGGAGAAATTGGCCAAAGCCAAAGGCCCCATCCAAGTCTGAAATCCAATAGAGCAGTCGTTAAACCTTAAAGTTGTAAAATGTATTTCTCTGACTCCATGTCTCACATCCAGGTCATGCTGATGCAAGAGGAGGACTCCCACAGCCTTTGGCATCTTTGTCCCTGTAGCCTTGCAGGGCACAACTCTCCGTCCTGGCTGCCTTCACAGCTGGCAATGAGGGTCTGTTGCTTTTCCAGGTGCATGGTACAAGCTTTTGGTAGATTGTACCATTCTGGGGTCTGAAGGACAGAGGTCTTCTTCTCACAGTTCCACTGGGCAGTGCCAAAGTGGAGAGTCTGTGTGGGGGCTCCAACTCCAAATTTCCCTTCTATACGGCCCTAACAGAGGTTCTTCATGAGGGCTCCACCCCTGCACCAGACTTCTGCTGGACATCCAGGAATTTCCATACATCCCCTGAAATCTAGGTGGAGGTTCCCAAACCTCAATTGTTGTATTCTGTGCACTGGCAGGCCCAAAACCATGTAGCAGCTGTGAAGCACTGGGGCTTGCACCTTCTGAAGCAATGGCCTGAGCTGTATCTTGGCCACTTTTAGCCACAGCTGGAGCTGAAACAGCTGGAACACAGGGCACCTTGTTCCAAGGCTGCAGAGAGCAGGGAGGCCCTGGACTTGGTCCATGAAACAATTTTTTTCCTCCTAGGCTTCTGGCCCTGTGGCTGGATGGGAGAAGATCTGTGACACTCCCTGGAGACCTATTCCCCATTGTCTTGGTGATTAACATTCAGCTCCTTGTTACTTATGCAAATTTCTGTAGCAGGTTTGTATTTCTCACCAGAAAATGGGTATTTCTTTTCTGTCGCATCATCAGGCTGCAATTTTTCTAAACTTTTATGCTCTGCTTACTCCTGAATGCTTTGCTGCTTTAAAATTTCTGTTGCCAGATACCCTAAATCATCTCGTTCAGGTTCAAAGTTCCATGGATCTCTAGGGAAGGGGAGAAATGCTGCCAGTCTCTTTGCTAAGCATAACAAGAGTCACCTTTGTTCCTGTTCCCAACAAGTTCCTCATCTCCATCTGAGACCACTTCAGCCTGGACTTCATTTTTCATATCACTATGAGCATTTTGGTCAAAGCCATTTAACAAGTCTCTAGGAAGTTACAAACTTCCCCACATCTTTCTTTCTTCTTCTGAGCCCTCTAAACTCTTACAAATTCTGCCTTTTACCCAGTTGCAAAGTCGCTTGTGCATTTTTTGTATCCTTATAGCAGCACCCCACTCTATGTGGTACCAAGTTACTGTATTAGTCTGTTCTCATGCTGCTATAATGACATACTCAAGACTGGGTAATTTATAAAGAAAAGAGGTTTAATTGACTCACAGTTATGTACAGCTAGGGAGGCCTCAGGAGACTTACAATCATGGTGGAAGGCATCTCTTCACAGGATGGCATGGGAGAGAATGAGTGCCCAGTGAAGTGCGAAGCCCCTTATAAAACCATCAGATCTCATGGGAACTAACTCACTATCACGAGAACAGGATATGGGAAATCGCTCCTGTAATTCAATTATTTCCACCTGGCCCATCCCATGACATATAAGGATTATGGGAACTACAATTCAAGATGAGATTTGGGTGGGGACACAACAAAACCATATCAAGACTCATAGCCATACAACTGTGGTGGTCTTGGATAAGATCCAGAAGAATTCTCTGGATTGTCAGGCCAAGACTCTTGTACTTTTTCCTTACTTTCTTTCAAATAATGGAGTATCTCTGTGCTAGAGCTGCATGCAAATGGTGTTGGGGGACAAAAGCACCCATGTGTCCAGCACCACTGGGACTTTGCTGTTTCAGACCTGAAGCCAACACTTCACTGGGTCTTGCCCAAGGCCCACTGTAACCACTACCTGTCTACTACTTATAGTCATTCAAGGTTTCAGGGCTCTACAATCAGCAATCAGCAGGTGGCAAAGCCACCGATGTTTGTATCTCTCTTTTTAGAGCAGTGAGTTCCCCCAGGACCTGAGTGGGTCCAGAGATGGTGTCTGGGAGCCAGAGATTGGAATCAAAAACATTAGAAATTTACCTGTTGTTCTATTCTACTGTGGCTAAGCTGTCCCTCAAACCACAAGACAAAGTCCTTCCCACTCTACCCACCCATTTCCACAGGTGAAGGAGTCTCTCTCTCTCTCTCTGGCCACTACCACCACTAGCCAATGGGGGTTTCTCCCACGCCACCAGTGATGTGGCCCAAGAGCTTTTCAGTCAGCTTATGATGAATGTTGCCTGGCCTGGGACTCACCCTTAAGGGCAGTGTGTTTCTCTATGGGCCACGGGAGGTCCAGATATGCTGTCCAAGAGTCTAGGCCTGGACTCAGGAATGCCAAGATCCCACTTAATTCTTTACCTTCCATGGCTGAACTGGAACCTAAGGTGGAAGACAAAGTCTCTGTTACTTTTCTCTCTGCTATTCTCAAACAGAAGGAGTCTTTCGCTGCAGTCACCACAGCTGGGAATGTGCTGGGTCACACCTGAAGCAAGCATGTTCCAGAGCCCAAGGCCCACAGAGTGCTACCTGGCTCCGGATGAGTATATATACTATCTGTGTATTGCTGCTGGTTATTCATGGCCCAAGGGTTCTTTAGCCAGCAGCTGATGAATCCTGCCATGATTTGGCCCTTCCCATCAAGGCCGTGGGTTCCACCCTTCTGGCCAAGGGTGTGTCTAGAAATGTCATCCAGGAGCTAGGTCCTAGAAGGGACACCTCACAACTCTGCCCACTGCCATATCTATCCTATTGTGGCTGAGCTGGTATCCAGGATGCAAGACGAAGTCCTCTTTGCTCTTCCTCTTTATCCTTTCCTCTCTTTTCCTTAAGCAGAAAGAAGGAGTTACCTTTATTGCTGCCAGAAGCATTGCATAGGGTTGGGAATGTGTGTCTCAAGCACTCCCTTAGCCACCCCATCTGCTCTCTCTCTAGGTCACATGCCAACCTAGTCCACTGTCTCTAAGCCCAGCCCAGCACTACTAGTTCCCCAGTAATTGCCATCCTTGTGTCCTAGATTGCCTTTCAAGTTTACTTAGGATTCCAGAGCACTTTGTCCTGTGGTGAAGAGACCTGCCAAGAAACTCAGCTTCTGACCACTGAGATGGGCGATTCTTCTCTGGCTAGGGTTCGTCAAAATGTACTTTCTGTGCGTGGGTGCCAGCTGAGCCCAGCACAGCTTTTCTCTCTGCAGTGACAGGGTAGCACTGAGTTGAATGTAAAGTACCCTAGTTGCTGCACTCTCCCTCCCACAAGGGTAGATTCTCTCTTGTCATGTGGCCACTGCCAGGGGTTGGGTAAAGGGTGGCATTGGCAATTCAAGAGGGACTTCCTACTCTCTTCAGTGTCTCTTTCAGTGATATGAAGTAAAACCCAAGTACTGTGTGTGCTTAACTGATTTTTAGTTTTTGTGATGGTGCTTTTTGTGTGTAGTTAGTTGTTAAAATTTGGTTTTCCTGCTTGTGGGGGATGAATGGTATAGGCTTCTGTACAGCCATCTTGCTCTGCCCTATATAACTCTTAATATTTGGAAATTTGCAAGCATCTGGGTGATTGAAATTATCACAACCTATAAAATATGTTTGTGATCAACAACATTGATGGATAAACTCATGCAATAATTTTCATTTAAGGTTAAACTCCACAATGTTTAGATAAATACTGGCTGGGTGATGGGCTAAATTTAAATGAATGGATGGACTGATGAATGTATAGATGGATAAATAGTGGCACAGATAAATGAGTAAATATGATTTCATTACATGTTGAGTAAGTTCATTTTATTGGTTAAAATAATAATGATACTATGTTTTTCAGATTGTGTAATTCATATTATTATTATATTGACTCTTTACTTATAATTCTTCATTTATATAGTTTTAAACAATTTCCATTGTAAATAAATTTGCCAGGTAGTGATATTTAGCACTTTAAGCATTATAGTAGTTTTCTAGACCTGGACTTACCGATTACCACAAACTGAGTGGCTTGAAACAACAGAAATTAATTATCTCGTAGTTCTGGAGGCTACAAACTCAAAGTCTGTGTCTCCAAGTTTGCACTCTTCCTCAAGGTTCTAGCTGAGAGTCCATTCCATGCCTATTTCTCCTAGTTTCTAATGGATTCCCACAATTCTTAGCATTTCTTGGCTCATAACCTCATCAAAGTACTCCACTCTCTGCCTCCATTTTTATATTGTCCTTTCCTCTATGTATGTGTTTCCTTTTTTTTTAATCCCATAAAGATCTTGTCATTGGGTGTAGAACCCACTGAGATAATCCAGGATAAGCTCCTCAGCTCTAAATATTTAATTTAATAACATATGCAATGACCCCTTTTCCCAGATAAGTTATCACTTACAAGTTCTAGGAATTAATATATGGGCATATCTTTTTGGTAGCCACCATTCAACCCACTACAGGCACTAAAATATTTTTAAGCAAGGCTGTTTGCCAAGACTGTTATATGACTGCCTTATTTAATAGAGGACAGTTAACATAAGAGAAGGCTGTCCTAATGGCTCAAACCTGTTACAGTGTAGCCTATAGATACAATAAAACAGCATGAGGTATGTAAGGCTCTTTGCTCCTACGGTGAATGCTTAAGGACTAAGATCGCTTCTTATGTTTGATTTTTGGAGTGTTTCTATCTTTTTAAAATTTTCATCAGCTGTAATTTCATGATTCTGCATTAGCATCTACTTTCCTTTCCCTAATCTAATACTTCTAATTATTCTGTAATAACAATGCCTGCTAAAGGTATTTGTGAAACAGGAACCAATCATTTTAGAATTATTTAAATATTGTGAGATATGGAAAAACAAAAACTAAACAAATTTTAACTAATGTAAATACTACATTCAGGTTCAGTAAGATAATTGTATAAGTTTGATAGGAAGATAGCTGGCTTGATAACAACTCATGTTTAAGGAATAGCTTTGAGTATGACAACTCTACAGTAATGTGGTTACCCAAAAGCTAGCAAAATACTTAAGAATCTGGTATTCTTGTTCCACTTCATGTTAGATAAATTTGGATGTCACATTTAATAACAGACTTAAATAAATTCAAGTATCCAGAGAAATGTGATCATAGTAAGGGGCTGAAAAGCAGGCTTAATGAAGAATATATGATAAAACCAATGTTGAATATCCTGCGAAGTGAAAACTTTGATGCTGGAGAAGGGGAGGGAAAAACATGCTTGCTGTTCTCATATTTTAAAAATGGCTGTCATGTGTAAGAGTGGAGGAAGCTAATTTTTTAGAAGGAAGAAATAAGATCAATATCTGGAAGCTATGTGGAGATCGTTTTCAGCTTACAATATAAAACCAACATTTTTAAACAATGGGACAGCATTCTTATAGAAGAAAGTTATCTGTCACTGAAGAAGGTTTTATTGAGATTGGCTTTTATTTACTTTATGAAATAGATGATAGTTTGAAGAAAGTTTCCTGTTATGCAAAAAATACATATATAAGGGGTACTAGGTCTGTAAGGATTTTCAGTCAGTAGGATAGCCTGTGACCAAGGTGAAATATTTATTTAAATGCCAGAGGGATAACTCTGACTGAGGCCATGACCTTTGGCTTTCTAACTCTTCAATGAATATGCCTCTTTCCCCACCTGCATTTGTGTTTATTTTCCCTTCTTCCTCCCTCTTTTCTTCTGTGTCTGTATCTCTCTCCTTAGTCTATGGTTTAAGTCATCTGGGGCTTTCACTTTTATCTTTAACCTTCAGGTCTAAAGTAGGCACTGATATTTGAAACAGAGATTGGTCCTACCCTTACTGACCTGGTTACATTTCTTTCACTATTGGCTGTATGACATTAGGCAATTTTCCAAACTCGCTTGAGTTTTAGTTGTCTCCTCCCCTCAGTATAAAATAATCTAAATAATACTTTTCCTCCTTTTTGTTGTTGTTGTTTTGTTGTGTGTGTGTGTGTATGTGTATGTGTGTGTAAAACATTAAAATCAGCATGTAAGGATGTCTTAGTTTAGGCTGCTGTAACAAAATATTATAGACTGGGTAGCTTAAACAACAGACATTTCCTGGAGGCTATGGTACCCAAAATCAAGGTGCAGTAGATTCAGTCTGGTGAAGGCCCACTCCCTGGTTTGCAGATAGCTGTCTTCTTATTGTATTCTCACATGGCAGGAGGGAAAAACCCCTGGTCTCCTCCTGAATATGTGTGTGTGTATATATATACGTGTGTATATATATATGTGTGCTTATATATACATATATATATGTGTGTGTGTATATATATATAACTAATCCCATCATGATGGGGAAATACCCTCTTTACTTCATCTAAATCTAATTACCTCCCAAAGGCTTACCTCCAAATACCATCACATTGGAAATTCAAGTTGAAACAGAAGAATTTTGAGGAAACATTAATAGTAAGCCTATAGCAAATGGCAAGACATTATTAGTGAGCACAGCTTTCAGACATGAGTAAGTTTTGAAAGTTTCAAAACTATTTTGATGAGAAACCTTCCCAAAGTATTTATATTTGTGTACGTGGGTAAGGCAGTGAATTTACCTTACTCATTATTCTTTCTAACATTCCACAAGCTGTTTCCATTGGAAATGCAAGGTAGTTCATTTTCTTTTTTCTGAGACAGAAACATTCTGGAAAAGCAAATAAAGTATCATGTTGAGGATGGAAAAACAATCTAATCCTTGGAAGGGTTGCCAACATGTCTTTTTAGCTGCTCGAGAATATGTGGATAGGTTTTCTGTCAGTTCACTCTTTTTTTTTTTTGAGACAGAGTCTTGCTGCAGAGCAATGGCATAATCTTGGCTCACTGCAACCTCTGCCTCCCAGATTCAAGCAAGTCTCCTGCCTCAGCCTTCTGAGTAGCAAGGTTTACAGGCGTGTACCACCAGGCTTGGCTAATTTTTGTATTTTAAGTAGACTAGGTGGGGTTTCACCATGTTGGCCAGGCTGGTCTCGAACTCCTGACCTCAAATGATCCACCTGCCTCGGACTCACAAAGTGCTGGGATTACAGGCTTAAGCCACCGCGCCCGGCCCAGTTAACTCTTAGGAATGAGAATATTCACAGTGACTTCTAGTGAAGCCCTCCATAAACACGATATAGTGCAACACTTTTAAACAGAAACAAACAAAAACACTACAGTAAAAGGCAGTGCAATATGGCTGAATAGAACCCTCCAGTGTTTGTCCCCCCACAGAAAAACCAAACTGAATAACTATTCACACGAAAAGCACATAAATAAGAACCAAAATACAGGTGAGTGATAACAGTACCTAGTTTTGACATCATATCAAGCAAAGTGGCATTGAGGAGGTAGAAAAGACAGTCTTGAATTGCCTACACTGTCCCTCCCTCATCCGATGGTAGTGCCATATGGCACTGGGAGAGATAATTTTTTGCTTGAGGGAGGGAGAGTGAAGTGATTGTGAGACTGCTTTGGAACTCAGTGTTGCCATGTCACAGTGGCAAGAAACCCAGAGCAGAATTCATCTGGTAACCATGGAGGGAGCATTTAGACCAGGCCTACCCAGTGGGAAATCATCCATCCTACCTGTCAGAACCTGAGTTCCAGCTAGCCCCCCGACCAGGGGCTAAAGTTCTTTGAGGGGCTAAAGTTCTTTGAGGTCCTAAATAAATTTGAAAGGAAGTCTAGGTTACAAGAACCAAAATTCCTGGGCAAGTCCTGTTTCTGTACTGGCATTGGAGCCAGTGGGCTTGGGGTGCATGGGACTCAGTGAGACATCAGCTATGGTGGCCAAGAAAGTGCTTGCATTACCTCTTCCCCAACTCCAGGTAGCACAGCTCCCAGCTCCAGGAGAGACACCTTCTGCTTGAGGAAAGCAGAGGGAAGAGTAAAGAAGACTTTGTCTTGCAACTTGGAAACCAGCAGAGTCACAGTAAGATAAAACCCTATAGAGCCCTGAAACCCCAGTCTCAGGCCAAAAACTTAAGGACAACATTTCTAGACCCACTGAGAGCCAGAAGAGAACCCACTGCCCTGAAGAGAAAGACCTGGTCTTGGCAGAATTCACCACCTGCTGACTAAAGAGCTTTGGGTCTTGAATAAACATTAACGGTAGCCAGGCAATAGTTGCCACAGGCTATGGGTGAGACCCTTTACTGTGTTAGCTTTAGGTGTGACTCAGCACTGTCCCAGTGGTGGTGGCCACGTGAGTGCTTGTGTCACCACCACCCCTTCCCTCAACCAACTACAGGTGGCTCATCATGGAGAGAGACAGAGAGAGACTCCATTTGTTTGGGGAAAAGAAAGGGAAGAAAATAAGAGACAATGCCTTATAGCTCAGAAAATTCTCCAGGATCTTACCCAAGACCACCAAGATGGTATGTCAATGAGTCTACAAAAGTCACAGCGTTACTGGACTTGGAGTGCCCCCTAATGCACATATGGCTTCAGTAACCAAAGACTTAGATGACAACAGTCAATTCCCTTTGAATACTTGGAAAACCTTCTTAAAAAGAATGGGTATAAACAAGTCAAGACTGTGTAGATAACATTAAATACCTAACTCTTCAATGCCCAGACATTGGCAAACATCGAGAAGCATCAAGATTATACAGAAAAACGTGACCTCATCAAACAAACTAAATAAGGCACCATGACCATTCTGGAGTGACAGAGATATGTGGCCTTTCCAATAGGGAATTCAAAATAGTTGTTTTGAGGAAGTTCAATAATATTCCATATAACACAGAGAAGGAATTCAGGATCCTATCAGATAAATTTAACAAAGAAATTGAAATAATTTTTAAAAACCAAGCAGGAATTGGCCGGGCGCAGTGGCTCACGCCTGTAATCCCAGCACTTTGGGAGGCTGAGGCGGGCGGATCACGAGGTCAGGAGATGGAGACCATTCTGGCTAACACGGTGAAACCGCGTCTCTACTAAAAATACAAAAAGTTAGCCGGGCGTAGTGGCGGGCGCCTGTAGTCCCAGCTACTCGGGAGGCTGAGGCAGGAGAATGGCGTGAATCCGGGAGGCGGAGCTTGCAGTGAGCCCAGATCGCGCCGCTGCACTCCAGCCTGGGCTACAGAGCGAGACTCCGTCTCGAAAAAGAAAAAAAGAAAAAGAAAAAGAAAAACCAAGCAGGAATTCTGGAGCTAAGATATTTATTTGACAAACTGAAAATGCATCAGAGACTCTGAACAGCAGAACTAATCAAGCAGAAGAAAGAATTCAGAAGCTTGAAGACAGGCTATTTGAAAAAACGTAGAGGAGGCAAAAGAAAGTAGAATAAAAAAGAGAGAAGCATGTACATAAGATCTAGAAATTAGCTTCAAATTATAAGAGTTATTGGTCATAAAGAGGAGGTTGAGAGAGAGAGATCTGGGTAGTAAGTTTATTCAAAAAGATAATAGAGAACATTACAAACCTAAAGATCAGTATTCAAGTACAAGAAGGTTACAGAACACCAAGATAATTTAACTCAAGACTAACTGGACACACTTAATAATCAAACTTCCAAAGGTCAAGAATAAGGAAAGGATTCTAAAAAGAGCAAGAGATAAGAACAAACAACATTTAAAGGAGCTCCAATACATCTGACAGCAAATTTCTCGGTGGAAATCTTACAAGCCTGGAGAGTGCCGTGACATATATAAAATGCTGAAGGGAAAAGACTTTTATCCCAGAATATCACATCCAGCAAAAATATCCATCAAACATAAAGAGAAATGAAGACTTTTCCAGACAATCAAAAACTTAGGGATTTTACAAACACCCGGCCTGTCCTACAAGAAATGCTAAAGAGAGTTCTTCAGTCTGAAAGAAAGAAATGTTAATGACCAAGAGGAAATCATCTAAAGGCACAAAATTCACTAGTAATAGTAAATACGCAGCCAAATACTGAATATTATACCACTGTAATTGTGCTGTGCAAACTACTTGTATCATCAGTAGGAAGATTAAAAGATGGATCTATCCAAAATAATAACAACTACTTCTTAAGACACAGTATAAAAAGATAGCAATAGAAACAACAAAATTTTAAGAAGTAGGGGGATAAAGCTAAAGTGTAGAGTTTTTTTTAGTTTTCTTGTTGCTTGTTTTTAGTTTCTTAGTTTGTTTTTGAGGTCAGAGTTAAGTTGTCATAATTTAAAAATAAGTGGTTATAAGACATTATTTGCAAGCCTCGTGGTAACCTCAAATCAAAAAACCTACAAGAGATACACATAAATAAAAAGAAATTAATTAAAAACTACTACAGAGAAAAATCACTTTCACACAAAGAACAGAAAGGAAGGAAGGAAGAGAAGACCACAAAACAACCAAAAAACAAATAACAAAATTGCAGGCATAAGTTCTTACTTATCAATAATAGCACTGAATGTAAATGGACTAAATTCTCCAATCTAAAGAAATAGAGTGGCTGAATGGATAATTAAAAATAAAAGAACCAACTATCCACTGCCTACAAAAAAACACACTTCACTTATAAAGTCACACATAGAGAAAATAAATGGTTGGAAAAGAATATTCCATGCAAATGGGAAAAAATACGAACAGAGTTTGCTATACTTGTATCAGAAAAAATAGATTACAACATGAAAACTATAAGAAAAGTAAAAGAGTTTATTATATTGTGGTAATGAAGTCAATTCAGTAGGAGAATATAACAATAATAAATATATATTCACCCAAGATGAGCACTCAGAAACGTAAAGCAAATATTATTAGAGATAAAGAGAGAGATAGACCTCAATACAATAATAGCTGGAGACTGCAACACTCTACTTTCAGCATTAGACAGACCCTCGAGACCTTCCAAAATCAACAAAGAAAAAACAGACTTAATCTGCATTATAGAACAAATGGACCTCATAGACATTTATAGAACATTTCATACAATGGTTGCAGAATACAACATCTTCTGAGCACATGGATCATTCTCAAGGATAGACCATATGTTACACTATAAAACAAGCTTTTAAGTATTCCAAAAATTAGAAATCATATCAAGTATCTGCTCTGACAACAATGGAATAAAACTAGAAAGCAATTACAAGAGGAACTTTAGAAACTAACCAAACACATGGAGGGTAAACTATATGCTTCTAAATGACCAGTGGGTCAATGAAGACATTAAGAAGGAAATTTAAAAATTTCTACAAAATAAATGAAAATGGAAACACAATATAGTAAAACCTATGAGACACAGCAAAAGCAGTAGTAAAAGGACAGTTTATAGTAATAAGCACCTACATCAAAAAAGTTGAAAAACTTCAAATAAACAACAAAATCATGCATCTTAAAGAACTAGGCAAGCAAGAGTGAAGCAAACTCAAAATGAGTAGAAAAAAATGAAGATTAGAGCAAAAGAAATTAAAACAAAAATATAGAAAAGATCAACAAAATTAAAAGTTTGTTTTTTGAAAATATAAACAAAATCAACAAACCTTCGCCAGACTAAGAAAAAAGAAGACCCAAATACATAAAATGAAAGATAAAAAAGAAACATTGCAACTGATACTGTGAAAAAATCAAACAATCATTAGAGATTACTATGAGTAGCTATATGCTCATAAATCTAAAAACCTAAAAGAAATGGATTAATATCTAGACAATACAAACTACCAAGATTGAACCACAAAGAAATCCAAAGCACGGGTAAATCAATAACAAGTAATGAGACCAAAATGATAATATAAATTCTCCTAGCAAATGAAAGCCTGAGACCCAATGGCTTCATTGCTGAGTTTTACCAAACATTTAAGAAGAATTAATACCCATTCTAGTCAAACTATTCCAAAAAACAAAAAAGAGGATATACCTCCCGACTTATTCTAAGAAGCCAGTATTACCCTGATACCCAAACTAGAAAAAGACACATCAAAAGAAAGAAAACTATAGGCCAATAGCTTTGATTGACAGTCATGTAAAAATCCTCAACAAAATACTAGCAAATCAAATTCAACAACACATTGAAAAGATCATTCCTCATGACCAAGTGGGATTTATCCCTACAATGCAAGAATGGTTCAACATAGGGAAATCAATTGATGTGATACACCATATAAATAGAATGAAGAAATAAAATCATGTGATCCATTCAATTGATGTTCATAAGGTATTTCATAAAATTCAACATACCTTCATGATAAAAACCCTCCAAAAACTGGGTATAGAAGGAACATACCTCGACACAACAAACAGCATACATGAAAGACTCACAGCTAGTATCAAACTGAATGGGGAAATCCTGGAAGCTTTACCTCTACTATCTAGAACATGACAAAGATGTGGGTCAAAAACTAGGTGCCTGTGGGTGGTGGTGGGGTGAGAAGAATGGTGGTGGCCCAAATGCCATGGGGACCCTTAGGGTTTGGAGGGCCCGAGAAGGTGGGTCTATGGATACAAATACACCCACCTCTTTAGGCCATGGAGCCTTGGGGATCCAAGTCCTTGCATGACTGCTTTGTCCCAATTGGGCAAGACCTACATAGTCCTGATGACAAGGAACAAAGGAATTAATGGGCTAGGAAGGTGAGTGGACTCCCAGATGATCACAGGTAGAATGGTTAGCGGGCGGTTGAGTGGTGGGTCTTCATTCTACCAGACCTTTGTATTGTAAGAGAAAAGTTGTAGAATGGCATACCACATTTGGCCAGGTGGAAATGCTCCACCACTCTTTGCGAAGATTTACTGGCTGTTTATAGAAGGCCTGTGTATATAATATGTAAAAGTTGTTCTCAACTTTCACCTAAACCTTTTAAAAGAAAACATTTGCTACATCTACCTTTCTAGGGGTAAAGAGGTTGCTGACGTATGATGAAGTAGAGTGAGAAAATCACGCATCTTGTAAATTCCCATTTTTTAAAAAGTCATAGAAAATAAATGTCTTCTGAGAATGAATTTTTGAAATGGCATTGTTAGACTACTTCTGAAAGTGACACCAGAAGTGACACATTGACATTTGTTCAGTGGACATGGAGCAGAAGACTTAAGGAGGAAGAGAAGGTGGTTCTATGCCAGACTGGTCATATTTAGAAGTCATTTTTATATCATAACCATTGTTTTTTGTGTGCATTTTATTCCTCACTACTGTATATATGATTGACAATGCTAAATACTTTTTTGAATTATCTATTTTTTCTAGATATCCTGAAGTGCCTTATATGTGTTAAAATTAGAGGTAGTAAAATAACATATTTTCCAATTACATTTTTGTTAAAATTTACATGAAATGTTGCTTTGTGGAGGAAATGACCAAACCACTTTTTGAGTAATACATATTAGGTTTGTGCACTAGTTCAGGGGAAGAGGAAGGAGGAGGAAGTGTACAGAGCTTCATGCCAGTGTGCTTACAGTAAGGTAAACATGGTAAACCCTGTCTCTACTAAAGATAAAAAAATTAGCCAGGTGTGGTGGTGGGTGCCTGTAATCCCAGTTACTCAGGAGGCTGAGGCAGGAGAATCACTTGAACCTGGGAGGCGGAGGTTGCACTGAACCAAGTTTGCACCACTGAACTCCAGCCTGGGCAACAGAGTGAGACTTGGTCGCAAAAAAAAAAAAAAAAAAAAAAAAAAAATTAACCATTGTCCCTATGTCTGTGCGTTTTGTTTTACTTATTTGAGTAAATAGTATATATCAAGAAAAATCAAGTCCCAATTTACAACATTTTGTTTTTCCAGATGTTAAAGAGGTTGCCAGTGTAAGACAAAAGTAGATTAGTAAACTAAAATATTTTGTATATTTTGATTTAAAATTCCTAGGGAAAAAAATGTCTTCTGAAAATTTAAGCACTACTACCCACTGGGTTGATGAAAATGGTAGGGTTTATAGGCTAGAATGTTCATATTTGTCAGACTCTTTCAAATTATAACTATTGTTGCATGTGTGCAGCTTATTCAAGAATGTTGGGTATATAGTCGACAAGTTAACACCCTACCTGAAACATTTAGTCTGTCTAGATATTTAGAAGTGCCTGACATATATTAAATGTAGAGGTAGTAAAATATCACTTTGTAAATATATTTTTGTTAGAATTCATAGTAAGTATTGTCTTTTGGAATTGAAATTGTTAAACTGCCTCTGTGAGCAGTATAGTACCATCTATACTTGTTTAGAACAAACTGCAAAAGGTAACATACAGGCGTGTTCATATTTAGATATTTTCAGACACCATTTTCCAGTATGTTTTGTGCATTTTGTTTTGCTCATGCTTATAGTATATATAACTGATGAATGAGTCCTAAACTTGCAATATCTAGTCTCTAGATGTTAAGGAGTTTGCCACTGTATGACAAAGGACTTAGTAAAATCAGCACATTTTGTGCATTTTGTGTTGAAATTCATAGGAGAGCTTGTCCTCCGTAAGTGACTTTTGGATATGAATTTGTTCAACAACCCCTAAGCTTGTACTTGTCCACTGGAATGAAGACAGAAAGAAGTGAAGAGGGAATGGCTCAAGGCCAAAATGGTCATATTTAGAAGACACCTCAGATTATAACCATTGTTCAATGCGTGTAGTTTTACAGTGCTGTGTACATAGTGGACAAGTCAATGTGAAATATCTATCCATTTTAGATATTTAGAAGTGCTTGTTGTATTTAAATTAGAAGTAGTAAGATAACACTTTTTGTAAACAGCTTTTAAAGACTGATGGGAAATATTCTGTTTGAAAGTGGAATTGTTAAACCAACCGTGTGAACAGTGTATATTCTCTGTACTTGTTCACTGCCTTGAGGGAGGTGGGAGGAAATATATTCGAAAGTGTGTTTTGCTGGAGTGTACTAGAAAATTTAAGTTTATCCATCACCCTGTATGTTATGTTCATTTCATCTATTTTTGGTATACCATATATATTGTGTATATACTGAACAAATGATTCCTAATTTTATAATATCTACTCTGTAGATATTAAAGAGGTTGCCAATAAATGAGGAAAGTAGAGTTGGTAAACTAACACATTTTGTACACTTTGCCTTAAAATTCATAGAAAGGCTGTATTCTGAAAAGAAATTGTGGAAGTTGAAATGATAACATCAACTCTAAGTGACACAGGTGCCTGTATCCACTGGGTTGGTTGTGAAGAAAAGTTGGAAGAAATTAATGAATCTATACTAGAATGTTTCTGTTTAGAAGACACCCGATGTAACCAGTGTTATAAGTGTGTCATTTATTCAAAACCACTCTGTATATAGTGGACAAACTTAAGTCTTTATTTGAAACATCTAGTCTTTTTTTTTTTAATTTTACTTTACATTCTGGGATATATGTGCAGAACATGCAGGTTTGCTACATAAGTATACATGTGCCATGGTGGTTTGCTGCACCTATCAACCCATCATCTAGGTTTTAAGCCCTGCATGCATTAGGTATTTGTTCTAAGGCTCTACCTTCCCTTGCCCTCCACTCCCCAAAAGGCCCCAGCGTGTAATGTTCCCCTCCCTGCGTCCATGTGTTCTCATTATTCAACTCCCACTTATGAGTGAGAATATGTGGTGTCTGGTTTTCTGTTCCTGTGTTAGTTTGCTGAGAATGATGGCTTCCAGCTTCATCCATGTTCCTGAAAAGGATATGAACTCATTCTTTTTTATGGCTGCATAGTATTCCATATTTGGGTTGGTCCCAAGTCTTTGCTATTGTAAATAGTGATGTAATAAATGTACATGTGCATGTGTCTTTATAGTAGGATAATTTATAATCCTTTGGGTATATACCCAGTAATGGGATTGCTGGGTCAAATGGTATTTCTGGGTTCTAGATCCTTCAGGAATCACACTGTCTTCCACAATGGTTGAACTAATTTACACTCCCACCAACAGTGTAAAGGCATGCCTATTTCTCCACATCCTCTTCAGCATCTGTTGTTTCCAGACTTTTTAATAATGGCCATTCCAACTCGTGTGAGATGGTATCTCACTGTGGTTTTGATTTGCATTTCTCTATGACTAATGATGATGAACTTTTTTTCGTATGTTTCTTGGCCACATAAATGTCTTCTTTTGAGAAGTGTCTGTTCATATCCTTCGCCCACTTTTTAATGTGTTTTTTTTTTCTTGTAAATTTGTTTAAGTTCCTGTAGACTCTGGATATTAGACCTGTGTCCGATGTGTAGATTGCAACAATTTTCTCCCATTCTGTAGGTTTTCTGTTCACTCCGATGTTCACTTTAGTCTTTCTAGATGTTTAGAAGTGCACAAAATATGTTAAGATTAGAGTCAGTAAAGAACACGTTGTGTAGATATCATTTTGATTCATATGAAATATTGTCTTTTGAAAATTGATGAAACCATTTCTCAGAGCAGTACACATTATTATGTTTGTGCTGTTCCTGGGAAGAAGAAGAAAGTGTGAAGAGCTTTATACTAGTGTTTTCATGATGAGGCACAATCGACCATTGTCCCTTATGTCTGCATTTGTTTTACTGTGCTGTGTGTATAGTATATATAAATAGACAAATGAGTCCTAATTTGCAACATACAAATAATAAAGAGGTTGCTAGTGTATGACAAAAGTAGAGTAAGTAAATTAATACATCTAGTGCACTTTGTGTTAAAATTTATAGAAAAGACTGTTCTTAAAAGCACTTGCATAAGTGAAATTGTTAAAAATCCCCTCTAAGCATTACAGATGGTTGTTCCTGTCCATTGGGTAGATAGAGGTGGGAAGGGAAAAGAGTCTAGGCCAGGATGTTCCTATTTAGAAGACATTTTCAAATTATAGCCTGTGTTATATATGTGCAACATTTATTCCACTAAATAGTGCTACTCTGTATTTAGTGGAAAACTGAAGTCCTTTTGGAAACATACAGCCTTTCTAGATATTTAACATAGGTTAAAGTGGAGGGCTAAAATAACACCTTTTATGCATTTTTTAATTTCCTAGGAGTGGTTGCATTTGGAAATGAAATTGTTAAATTCGATGCTTTGAAGAGTAAGCTAGCTGTTCATTAGGTAGTGGTGGGTGGAGGGAGGAGGAAGTATGCAAGGAGAAGGATTCTGTGACTGTGAGTTAGATTAATTAAAGTGGTTTAACCATTTTTCTATATGTGCATTTTAGTTAATATTGTTGTGTTTTAAAAGATAATTCCCAATGCTCAAAGTATGTTAAAAGTAGAGGTAGTAAAAAAAAATCCACTTACAAATGTCCTTTTGTTAGTTTTTAGAAAGACCTGTCTTCTGGGAGTAAACTTCGTTAGCCCACCACTTGGAGTTAGACATAGTCCTATACTTAGCCACTGGGATGGTGGAACAGGGAGAAGATCAAGGGTGAAGGAAAAGGCTCTTTTGTAGTAACTCTATATCTAAAGATGGTTTTAGATGATAACCATAGGTCTACATTAGCATTTTTAGCAAAGTTCCTCTGTTTATTGTGGACGAAGTACATTATTGCAACATGTAAGCTTTCTGAAAGTCCTGTGTGACAATGTATGACAAAAAGTAGAGCTAGTGAATTAGCCAATTTGTAAATAACTTTTTGTTATATTTAATAGAAAATATGCATCTTGGACACAGAATTGTTAAATTCCCTCTGAGAAGTGTGTATAAGGATTTGTTTATTAGATTGACAACAAAGGGACAAAAGTAAGTATAAAGGGAAAGAAATATGCAGATGTGTTCATATTAACATTTTGCTGATATCCATTGATATATGTTAATCTCTTTTGGCTGTACTATAAAAATACATTAAGTAATTCAATGGAAACATATCTTTCTGATAATGTTTTAGTGAATTAATTAGCTCTGCTAATGAATTATCTTAGAAACATCATATTTAGTGTATTATGTTGTTTTATGTTTTATCTTAAATTGGGCATTAAGATAGTGTAGTATTTTAATCAGAACTCTGCCAATGTTTTTATCTAGAGGCATGTTGCCATTTTTGCCTTCTATAAAATTTTTGTTTCAAGAAAAGCAGGATAACATCTTTTTTCTAACATATTGACTTGGTGTAGTGTATTCTTGGTTATCAAAATTCTCATATAGCTTTGGAAGTTTTTTTTTTTTTCAAGACAGGGTCTCACTCTGTCACTCAGGCTGAAGTGCAGTGATGCAATCTTGGCTCAGTGCAGTGAAACCTCCACCCCCCAGGTTCAAGCAATTCTCCTTCCTCAGCCTCCTGAGTAGCTGGGATTACAGGCATGCACCACCATGCCCAGCTAATTTTTGTAGTTTTAGTAGAGACGGAATTTCCCCATGCTGACCAGGCTGGTCTCGACCTCCTGACCTCAAGTGATCCACCTACCTTGGCCTCCCAAATTGCTGGGATTACAGGCGTGAGCCACTGCACTTGGTCTGGAATTTTGAACTGGTAAATATTCATGATATGTGAAAAAGCATGGCACACACTATACAACCTCAATCCCATAAAATTGAATGTTTTATCTATATATACACAGGACCTAGAAAGACATGGCAAACCGTAAACTGCTGGTAATTGTGGATAACTTTATTCTTTGCTTCTGGTGTTTTTTAGTTTCTTATAATGCACATATTAACTTTTTAAAAATAAAGGCTATTTTGAAAATCTGAAAAAAAAATCAGTACTGTTTAACTGCACATACTACCTAAAACAGTCTATGGATTCAATGACATCCCCATGAAAATATCAATGACATTCTTCACAGAAATAGAGAAAACAATCCCAAAATTTATATGGAATCACAAAATACTCAGAATAACCAAAACTATCCTGGGCAAAAAGACAAAACTGAAAGAATCATATTACCTGACTTGAAATTATACTCTAGAGCTACAGTAACTAAACCAGCATGGTACTAGCATAAAAACAGACACGAACTAATGAAACAAAATAGAGAAACCAGAAATAAATTTATACATCTACAGTGAACTCATTTTCAACAAAGGTGCCAAGAACATATTATACATTGGGAAAAGGCAGTCTCCAATAAATTGTCCTGGGAAAACTGATATTCATTTGTAGAAGAATGAATCTAAAACCCTATATTTCATCTTTTGCAAAAATCGAATCAAAATTGGTTAAAGACTTAAATCTAAGACCTCAAAATGTGAAGCTACTAAAAAAAATTGAGGAAACTCTCCAGGTTATTAAACTGGGCAAAGATTTCTTAAGTAATATTCTACAAGCACAAGCAAGAGAGGAAACAATGAACAAATGGCATCATATCAATTAAAAAGCTTCTGCCCAGAAAAGGAAACAATCAACAAAGTGAGGAGACAACCCCCAGAATGGGAGAAAATATTTGCGAACTATCCTTCTGACAAGAGACTAATAACTAGAATATATGACATGCTCAAACAACTCTATAGGAGAAAACCTAAACCTAATAATCTGATTAAAAAATGGGCAAAAGATTTGGATAGATATTTCTCAGAAAAAGACATACAAATGGCAAACAAATACATGACCAGGTGCTCAACATCATTGATCGTCGGAGAAATGTAAATAACAGCTACAAAGAGGTATCATCTCACCCCAGTTAAAATGGCTTTTATCCAAAGCACAGGAAATCACTATGAAGAACAGTTTGGAGGTTCCTCAAAAATACTAAAACTACAGCTACCATGTGATTCAGCAATTCCACTGTTAGGTATATAACAACAACTACAAAAAAGAAATCAGTATAACAAGACAGTATCGGCACTCCTATGTTTGTTGCAGCACTGTTCACAATAGCCAAGATTTGGAATCAACCTGTGTTCATCAGCACAGAAACAGATAAAGAAAATATGGTATATATACACAATGGAGAATGGAGTATATATACACAATGGAGTAATATGCAAATGAGATTCTGTCATTTGCAACAACATGGATAGGACTGAAGATCATTATGTTACGTGAAATAAGGCAGGCACAGAAAGACAAACATTACATGTTCTCACTTATTTGTAGGAGCTAAAAATTAAAATAATTGAACTAATGGAGATAGAGAGTGGAAAGATGTTTACCAGAGGCTGGAAAGGGTAGTGAGAGGTTGGGTGTGGTGGCTGGAGTGGGGCTGATTAATGTGCACAGAATTAGTTAGAAAGAATAAGATCCAGCATTTTATATCACAATAGGGTGACTACAGTCAATAATAACGTACTCATACACTTCAAAATGACTAAAAGTTTATAATTGGATTGTTTTTTACACAAGAATAAATGCTTGAGGTGATGGATACCCCATTTACCTTGATGTGATTATTAAACATTGTATGCCTGTGTCAAAGAATATATATATGTGTGTGTGTGTGTGTATGCTCCATAAATATATATGTGTGTGTATATATACCCCATATATATATAGCTGCTATGTACCCGCAAAAATTAAAAATTAAAAAAATCTAAAAACAGAATTACCATATGATTCAACAATCCCACTGCTAGCTATATACCCAAAAGAAAGGAGATCAGTACATCAAAGAGATATCTACGCTTTCATGTTTCTTACAGCATTATTCACAATAGCCAAGATTTTGAAGTAACCTAAGTGTCACAAAAAATGAACATATAAAAAAAATGTGGTACATATACACAATGGAGTACTATTTAGCCACAAAAATAATGCGATTTTGTCATTTGCAACTACATGGAACTGGAGGACATTATATTAAGCGAAATAAGCCAGGCACAGAAAGACAAACTTTGCGTGTTCTCACTTGGTTGTGGGAGCTAAAACTTGAAACAAATTCATGAAGATAGACAGTAGAAAGATGGTTACCAGAGGCTTTGAAGGGTAGTGAGGGTAGAAAAGGGAAGAGGGGATGGTTAGTGGGTACAAAAGTATAGTTAGATAGAATGCATACAATCTAGTATTTGATAGCAGAACAGGGTGACTACAGTGAACAACAATTTATTGTGCATTAAGAAAATTAAAAGAGTACAATTAGGGTGTGTATAACCCAAAAGAAAGAATAAATGCTCGAGGTGATGGATACCCTATTACTCTGATGTGGGTATTGCATATTGTATGCCTGTATCAAAGTAGCTTATGTACCCCATAAATATATACATCTATGATGTAGCCACAAAAATAAAAATAAAAAAATTATAATTACAAATTAAAATTTAAATACTCTCATGGACCCAGAGCTTTCTGAAAACTGTACAACATAGTTACTGGTCCTCTTTGCTCTTGGCTGCAAGAGGTTGAATAAGAAGAAATGATGGCAAGTAATGCCTCTCCCTAGATCTTGGCAGTGAAACCCTATGTACAATTCCACAAGTAATCATGAAGATGATAGGTGACCTTTCTTAGGAACTTTGAACAACCAAAATTTCACTTGAGTCAAACATTAAAACATAACTCCACACACATCTAGCTCATTTTGTCAATAGACAAAAGTATATTACAAAAAAGGAAAAGCTGAGAGTCTTTAAGCCCCATCCACAGACTGTAAAAAGCTGTGATATTAGAGTTTAATTTCAGGGTCTTTTGACTATTCTGGTGAAAACCAGAGAAAACCTGACATTGAATTAATAGGACAATCAAGAAGAGTCTACAAAGTTTCTAACTTTTTTTTGAGATTTCATAGATAATGCAGAGGCTTCTCTAATCAAAGCACCTGAAGAAAACCCATCTTAGAATTCTCTCTGATATTTCATGCTAAGGTCAAAAGGTCTTTTAGCCAAGTCCTGATCTGAACTGATTCTCTGAAGACATGACTATCTCTGGAATCTAATGGGTAAATTTGCAAGAATCATTGAAGAAATGCCAATGAAGGGGATAACTAGGATTCATTTTACCAAAATAACTGTGAAATAAATGCTTGTGTTCTCACTTTTAGATTTGACTTCACTCCAGAAAAAAGGCATGTAGTCACTTGCTAGCTTCTATACTTAATAATAATCAATAAAAATTATTATCATGCTTTAATTCATATGATATTTCAGAGACTACTGTGTTTTCTAGGAACTAGTAAATTTTGAAATTTTCACAGCATCCATAGTTCATGATTATCAATATATAACTAAGTCCACTAAGGAGAAGCAAGATTATTTGATTTTCCCCAGATAGTAATATAGAAATGATGGTGATGATGATGATGATGGTGGTGGAGGAAGAATATAACATTTACTTATTAAAATTTTACCATCTTACCTTGGACCAAGTATATGTATTATTTCATTAAATTCTCACATGTCCCTGTGAGGTATAGGACCTATTACTGTAACTATCTCATAGATCAAAAAATTGAGGTAAAAAAGAGGTTAAGTAACTTGCCTAAGGTTATATAACTACTATTTTGCTCATGCAGAGCTCAGGTTAAGATCCCAGGCAGTCTGACTCCCAAGGTCTGTACAACTCCCTTAGCTACTGCTAATGATTGGCTAAATTAGGACTTGAGAAAAAATTCTTAACTGTAACACTAATACTCTTTCCATTCTACAATTCAGAAGGCTCCTTGCACCACCAAATAAGTTCGGAGTCAATGCTTAAAAAGGATGATGGTCAAAGGCATTGTGTCTTTGTGGAGAGAGGTAGGTTTCTGGAGCCTGCAGCCAGTAAAATCTGCTTATAGCCCTGAGCACTCAGAACTAAACTATTCCACCAAGGGAAAAGCAGTAACACAGCAGCTAAGTGTGTTTGAAGGAAAATTTGAAGGTGGCCCTCCTAGTCTGTATTGCCACTTGGTAAGCACAAAGTGGAGGAGGAGGATGGAGTTAGCACATCCCCTTTACAAATTGGTTTCTCTATGTCTCATCTCATAATCTCTTGAACGACTGTTTCCATAGACACCCACACTTCAGTTTCCCAGCTTAACCACATTTGAACAAGAATGCAGGCTTTGGCTTCAGCAGCTGTGAACTGTTTTACCATGTGTCTAACAGGCATGGCTTATCTACCTTCCTGTCTGTGTGCAACAGAACAGAGGGGTGGGAGCAGTTCAACCAACAGTAATGCAACAGTAATGCAACATTAGGAGTTTCAAAGCTAAACAAACCCAATTTGATCCATATGAAACAAGGCAAAAGCAGACAAAAAAGGAGTGACTTTTTTTCATTCTTGGCTTTTGGGAGTGGGAGTGGGGCAATAGTGGCTTGAAGTTGGCTGTTTCACAAGTGTAAAATGAAAGCACAAGCCTTTTTTTTTTCTTTCTGAAACAGAGCTGTGGGTCCCTGGGGACTCAGAGGGGAAGGCGATAGAGTGTGGGAGTCTATGTGGGCACTGAAAGAAACCTAGAACATAAGTTAATGAAATTCACAGCCCACAAAGCTGTGCTTTAATTTTGAACTTGAACTAGCAACAGTTAAATAAAATAATTGAATCAAATTAGGTTTAAAATAACTTGCCTGCTGAGAATATAGGAAACTAACAATGTAGTAGAAGTTTCCATACAAAGGAAAAAGAAAAATAATAATCTTAAAAATTTACTCTTGTGAAAAAAAAATGCACTTGTCAATTGGCCTAGGAATTTCAGGTAGAGCCATGACAAAAAAGTATGAACACACACACACACACACACACACACACACATAAAAACACATATAATCATTTATGAGGGATTTGTGTACATCCACTACACAAACCATGCAAATTTCTACACATCCCACTTGAACACAGCATGTATACAACTGTTCCTCATATTAGGGATTGTTTTGAAGTTCAATGTAACCAAGCAGACAAATATTCTTGGCCTAGATGAAACCCAGTCACAAAGAGTACATGATGAGGAATTACATGCCTTAAAATAACAAACACATATTTCAATTCATGCAATCATCACAACAACCCTATGAGTTAGTTTCTATTATTATTACATTTTACAGATAAGGAAACTGAGGCACAGAGGTGTTGAATGACTTCTAAAAGTCACACTGCTAAGAAAGAGAGTCGAGACATATTTTGACATCAGTCTGGTACCAAAGTCTGTGTTCTCAACCATTATAATTAGCAAATGGAAAGAAAGGCTCTTTGTCCAGCAGAAAGAAGTGGATGCTGACCCAATCCCACTCTTTTCCTCTCCTAAGTGTCTAGATATTTTTGTGAGATGCTGTTCTATGTTAGTGAGTAGGTGGGTGAGAATCAAGATGGTGGGGATATTTTTGGTGGGGTGGCTTTAAAAGTAATTGCTATTTGACAAGAGAATGAACCTTTTGTAATGAACTCAGCAGAGACTCTTCCTCTTGCTTAGCCTTTGACTGTTAAAACAGTGCATGATCTAGATGTTCCTTTAGATTGCATTTCCTTAAACAGAGGAAGAGAATGCTTCAAATGATTTTTGAGAATACTATTTCATCCAAATATTCAAGGCTTATTTTCCCTTGGTTATTATTTCCTGGCTCATGGAGAGAACTTGGCATCCATGACCTTCTGTTCTAATTTGCTGGAATTGGGTTTTAACTATAATATTTGTATTCACAGGAAAGCTAGTTGGTGGATTACCATTTGGTGTAGACAGATTAAGGCACTCTTTATGTAGCCAGTTTGTTCCTTATTCTGTTGTGCTCAAGGAATCTTACCCAAGCTAGCTGAATCTCCACAAATGGACATATGTTTCCATTTGTAAGTAAAATCTTTGATAAGCAAAATGTTGTCAACTTTCCTCAGATTTTTCTTTCAGAGAAGTTTTAATGTTGTCACTCTCACTGTATAAACTTTGGGATATTGGAAATGTGTGAACTAAGCACAGCAGTGTTTTCCTTTGAATACTCACCTATACAAATACAATAGGAAAACAGATGAAACAAACTAAAACTGTTTAAAGATAGGCAATTCTGGTAAGTCCTCTCACTCATCTTAATCACAAATGAAATGCACAAAGTAGTTAGAATAATTTGGCCTTATCTATGAGCCAACTTTATTATTATTTATCATTTCTTGCTTATGTTGTTTTATTTAATTGCAAGGAGAAATTATCACAAACTATTGAGGCTTTTCTTGTTTTATCTATTGATAGTATTTAAATGCTGGCTAAGGGACAAGAAAGCAGGAATATTTTTGAAAGGTGGTATGACATAAATATCAGTTAAACAAAAACTTGATAATAGGCACATGTAAGTCAATAAAGTTGGTCCATTGCTTCAGTAAAGGGGACAAAGAAATATCTCGGGTTTTAAGGCAGCGTTCTTTTTATTATTTCTTCTGGTTGCAGTCTTGGGCCTGCATGTAGGTGCTAAGGACTTAGTAGCTGAGCTATGATTCTTATTGAGCAGATCTAAGATCCTGACAGTCAGCAAGGAGTTTTGTCTTCAGGATAAGTAAGCTGTGAAAGTGGATACAAGGGTACTTACTGAACAATTTAAATTTCCCATATAAATTGTTTAGAATATTTCCCGTGGAAAATAGTGGTCACATCTTCTGATGTGGCAGCATGAGATTTTGAATGGTATAACAATGTAATAAGATTATGATTATCTTAGCAATAACATAAAAGTTATTTAACATCAATATTACCACTTAAAATACATCACCAACTATCTACACATGAAGCAGAATTACTGAAAATATTAAAATGAAGGATAAGAGGCTTACAGCTGGTGGGAAGTTTTATGATTAAATGAAAGTATTAAGTTCCTTGAATAGGAAAGGAATTTCAACAAACAGGTGCCAATAAGTTGCATTTGGGGATTACTAGTGATTTGAAACATATATATTTTTCTAATCAGGGAAAGCCATGAAATCCCTGAAGTCTCCACTTATAAAACTCAAGCTAAGCTGAATTCAGGCTTCTCATGAATGCCTTACATTCTTGGATACTACTCACTGCTGCCTATGAAATATTACCTGATCATTTGCCCAGGCCGTGGACATGTTTCACCCCAGATTGGGTATTGCATGAGTTCAGATTTCAGTCACACATAAAGAGAAATTGGAACTGGCAGACATTGAAAGACTATGATTCAACTTGGGAATTAAGCCCCCCAAAAAGTCAGGGAAATACAAGGAAGAGGAAAGAGAAGGGGGACAAACTGTGTTAGTCAGACTTTCTCTAGGTCCTCATATGAATAGGTGGCTATTTTGAGATCCTCATCACTGAACACTGCAGAGAGAAGCTGCTATGCAAAAAATAAAAATTAAGTAAGAGACATACACTCTAGATGTATACACATGAAAAGTCACGGATTTATTAATGAAATTTAAGATACTGGGGCCAAATTGGAAATGACTATTTTTTATTTCTAGGCTATTGATTAGTCACATCAGCACTGATCCATTTATTTCACTTAACCTCCTTTTTCACTAAAACTTGTAAGCAGAGGCAAATAGAGAGCCTTCAAGAGGTGACAGAAATAGCTAAAACATTTAGAAGGTTTTTAAAAATGGTACCATCAGAACTGTGAAAAGATGTCCCCAGAGTAAAAGAACAGTGTGGGTGGCACTACTCAGTCTTAGTGGGAAATGAAAGGAAGAATGTTTTTATATATAATCCTATGCCACCCTAAGGTGCCAATGAGCTCATTTCTTTTTTCTCCTAACTAAATGCAAAAAGCACACACTTAAGTGCTTTTGTTTATTCACTTAAAAATAGATGTAAGTTACATTTACCATGTTGCCTCGTCAAACTATCATTCTGTTTTGATTCCTAAGGTCAGAAGTATTTATAAATTATTAAACATGGTGAAATTCTTTTCCACTAATAATTTCCAAAATTATTATAACAATTTTGTTATATTTTTTCATACCCAAGCATCTATAAATAACCTTTACCCACTGCATCCATGTTCTTTCCATATTCTTATTCTGTCTCTTAAAACTGGGCTTCCACATTTTATAATGAAAATACTCACTTGAAGGTCACTAGTGTCTTCCCAATTAATATATAATGTGATATTTCCTCAAGTCATCGTTATTCATGAACTTTTTAAAGTGGTTTACACTGTTCATCACCACTTTTTGGAGCTTTGCTTCCTTAGTTTTATTAAGTAGCCATACTGATCTTGCTACCTTTTGTCTATTTCCTTTTGTTCTCTTTTTCTGGGTCAACTCTCCCTCTGCTTAGTGCTTAAATATTGTTCTTCCCCATATTACTTCCCAGGCAATTATTGTTCTTCTCGTGCTGCCTATTCACACTAGGCACATTTACTTTTATGATTTCAAATACTACCTCTATACTGATGATTCCTAAATCTCTAATTCTGGCCTGGTCTTCTTTCTCCTTTGGTTCCCAGTGATATGCGAGAATCTGTTTTGGTAAGAGACAAAAGGATAGCTGAAAATATGTTGTTCTTAACTCTTCTGGCTTTATCAGTTTAGAGGGAATTTATTGCCATGTTATATGTTATTGAAAGTGAAAATCTGAGGTTTCATCATCTGAAAACAAAAAAAAATTGTGGGCAATGATCTATTTAGTCATATTCTCAAACTAGGTAGGTCAAAAGTTTTGCTTATATAAACCTCAGATGGATTCCCTCTACCAGTTTACACCAGGGTAGCAAAGAAGCTTCTTCCAGAGGTGCTCAGTTCTTAAGTTAGGTTGGGAGAATGAGACTGTGCATGCTTTTCAAGACATATCTGAACATCGAAGGAAGTGTTCAGGACTATTACCTCTACCTTTTGTCATATTCTCTAAAACCCTTTCTAGTGCTACTTCCAGTGACAAACTAGTCCAGATAGAACCTAGGATCTCATAAGACACCCAGATGTCTTGACTATAGAGTTATGCTGCCTACTCTGCTTCTAATGTAAAATATAAATCAGAAGTACCTCTCTGGCTAGTTCTCAATTTTGTCTTCTCCTAAATAAGGATAATAGTACCTACTCTGCCTAACTTCTTAGGTTGTGTGAAACTTAAGAAGTAAATAAAATTATAGGTGCTAGGGCCGGGTTCAGTGGCTCATGCCTATAGTCCCAGCACTGTGGGAGGCCGAGGTGAGGGGGATCATTTGTGATCAGGAGTTCGAGACCAGCCTGGCCAACATGGTGAAATCCTGTCTCTAATTAAAAAAAAAAAAAAAAGCTGGGCATGGGGACTTATGCCTTGTAGTCCCAGCTACTCGGGAGGCTGAGTAGGGAGAGTCACTTTAACCCGGGAGGTGGAGGTTGCAGTGAGCCGAGGTTGTGCCACTGCACTCCAGTCTGGGTGACACAGTGAGACTCTGTCTCAAAAAAAAAAAAAAAGTATAGGTGCTATTCACATGTAAGAGACCCTCATTAATTTCTATTGTCCAAAGATCGAGCAAAAACACAACCTTGATAAATGTTGATATGTGTTGAAAAATCATAGATTCCTGGGCAAAGTGTTAAAGAATTCCATTCACCCTAGTGAAGCAAAGGTAGGTGGGTGTCATAAACCCTAAGGGATTTTTTAAAATACTGAATCTTGGTACACTGCTTTCCTTTTTTCTTTCTTTCTTTTCTTTTGCCTTTTTGAGATGGAGTCTCACTCTGTCACCCAGGCTGGAGTGCAGTGGTGCGATCTCAGTTCACTGCAACTTCCGCATTCCAGGTTCATGCCATTCTCCTGCCTCAGCCTCCCGAGTAGCTGGGATTACAGGTGTGCACCACAATGTGCAGCTAATTTTTGTATTTTTAGTAAAGATGAGGTTTCGCCATGTTGGTAAGGCTGGTCTTGAACTCATAACCTCAGGTGATCCACCGCCTCAGCCTCTGAAAGTGCTGGAATTACAGGCATGGGCCACCAAGCCCAGCCCCGCTTTCTTTGAGGGACATTTGGAATTACCTCTGCATGGTGGCCATAAGAGATCTTTTGTTTGGGACATTAGCTTGTTCTTTTAGCTTTATTTTGAACTTTAGATGCTCAAATGGACCTTTACCATTCATGGTTCACATATCCGACAATAGCAGAGAATCTGTGCCCCGGCTTGTAAAACAACCATGCAGCCCCAGATTTTAGGCTATCATTTGAGGCTTACTCTACTCATCAGCTGAAGATGGCATTTAGATGAGCACTTATAGTGAAATGAGAATGTCTGGTTTGTCTGTCTTAAAGTTCTGACACCAAAAAGGTAGAATTGAAAATAGATTTTAAAAAAATAGATTTGTTGCAGTAATTTCCAAGAAGAGCCATGTAATTATGCAGGAAGACACTCTTTCATTTGGAAGGCGAATAACTCTTGTTGAAAATGACTTAGGCAGAGGTGACGCTTTTGGAACAAGTAAGGACTCAGTACTAAAAGACATAGCACTGAGTGGAGGATGGAGAAGAAGGAGGTAGAGATAAAATAACTTTATAATTTCATTCTTCATTAAGTCGTAATTGATGAAATCACAAAATCTAAGGGCTTATGGCAACCTTGAGGTTATCTGGTCCTGTATTTCTCAAATTTTAATCATTTTTATACCTCCTGCATGGTTTTTCCATACTTGCTTATCACCACTTAATATGTATAATGGGATGTATATTTTTTTAACTTAGGCAATTTCAATTTTATTTAAAGTTATTTAACTTCTTTTTTTATTTTTAGAAGTTTTTTTATTGTGCTTTAAGTTCTAGGGTACATGTGCACAATGTGCGGGTTTCTTACGTATGTATACATGTGCCATGTTGGTGTGCTACACCCATTAACTCGTCATTTAACATTAGGTATATCTCCTATTGCTATCCCTCCCCCCTCCCCCCACCCCACAACAGGCCCCGGTGTGTGATGTTCCCCTTCCTGTGTCCATGTGTTCTCATTGTTCAATTCCCACCTATGAGTGAGAACATGTGGTGTTTGGTTTTCTGTCCTTGCGATAGTTTTCTGAGAATGATGGTTTCCAGCTTCACCCATGTCCCTACAAAGGACATGAACTCATCATTTTTTATGGCTGCATAGTATTCCATGGTGTATATGTGCTGCATTTTCTTAATCCAGTCTATCATTGATGGACATTTGGGTTGGTTCCAAGTCTTTGCTATTGTGAGTAGTGCCGCAATAAACATACATGTGCATGTGTCTTTATAGCAGCATGTTTTATAATCCTTTGGGTATATACCCAGTAATGGGATGGCTGGGTCAAATGGTATTTCTAGTTCTAGATCCTTGAGGAATCGCCACACTGTCTTCCACAATGGTTGAACTAGTTTACAGTCCCACCAACAGTGTAAAAGTGTTCCTACTTCACTTCTTTTAAAAGGAAACATTATATTACTATATGTTTGGAAAAAAGTAACACATGACATCAAGAAATAATAGTAACTGCAAAAAAATAACATTTACAACATTATGAATAGTAATAAGTTAATTATTAAAATAAAGTATTTGTCCAAAAGCCTCCTAAATAATCTCATATACCAATTGTGGCAGATGGGGTCAGGTCTAAATTTGCTTTTTGTCCCTGGAATATATAGAAAAGAACTTCTATTTCTCAGAAAGGGTAGATTTTTTATTTTCAGAAATCACACAGCAAGGCCTGGCAGAAATGAGATTGATGTGGTCACAGGAATGTTTCACTATGTGAGAAAGACAATCTCTTTTCTATTTGGTTGGTGCAAAAATATTTGCGGTTTTTGCTATTATTCTAAATGGCGAAAACCGCAATTACTTTTGCACCAACCTGCTATATAGCTCACGGAGACAAGTCGTGCATTAGTGGCTTTTTAAAAAGAAGAGCTATTGCTTGAGGCTTAGTAGATTGGCATATAATTTTTCCTTGCTAAATTTACTGGCATATTTGAACCTGTACTGCCAGTTACGGGAGGTGTTGATATAAGATGTAATAGTGATTTAAAGAGAGGAACCAAAATATAGGACAAGACACGAACAGAGTTGGACCGGGGAAAGAGTCTAGATATAGATGTATTCAGATGTGCAAAGTCTATAATCTCTATAGGCAGAAGAGATATCTAAAAATTGGTCACTTCCTTAACAGCTGCATAAATCTCAGGGATCCATGAAAGAGAGCAGAACAGCCAACTAGGACAGGAACATCAGGTTTAACTGGAAACCATAATAACCTAGGAGGAGTTTAGAACATAGAAGAAAAAAAGCTAATGCCCGAGATTACTCCAAATCAGCCATTTCCAGGTTGTGTTTTTCTGGATTTAGTAAACAGCCCAATCACTTATACTTCCTCCACTTTTATCTCCAGCTGTAAGCAGTGAGAAGTTGTGCTCAGCATAATGCTTCAAGACCAAGTGTAGCCTTCATTAAGCATTAACATGATTCAAATGGTAGCAGGAGACTCCAACTAAAATTTATATTAATGTGTTAGCTTTATTAGTTGCTGTCAGGTATAAATGAACAATAGTCAAAACCTAGCAAATCTGCAATAAATGATTCCAAATAACTCTAACTTGAATTGCAGAATTATAAAGGGTTATACCATTTAGTATAACCATCTTAAATGATTACATGAGGAAACAAAAGCCAGAGAGAAAAGGAAATTTCTTACAGTAATATATAAAGTTAATATCAGTACTGTGGTTAAAATACAGATCTCGTGACTGCCAATATAATTCTATTTCTAAGTACCATATTCTTTTTGGACATCAGTTTTTCCCCTCTTTCTCTCATTTCCCACACCACACCTCCTTCTCCACTTATAGAATGCTTGCACTCTCAACACGACAGGATAATCTTAAAGTGATTATCCTTTCTTTTAAACTAAAATTGCAGTGGTCCATAAAGGAAGTTAAGATAAGCATTTATTCAAAATAAAACACAATTCATAAATCCATGAATCTTATTTTAGCTTTTGATTACCCAAGATTTCATATTTTGGCCCTATTCCCTCATACCAGCTCCAATCTAAAACTGACTCCCAAGTGGGTAACTCAGCTGTAATTCAAATCTGATATTGTTCTATCTTCTATGCTCTTGGCTTCATTAATCTTCATACTTTTCAACATGTGTAAACCACATGCACAAGCCAGGTTTCTTAAAGCCTCCTGCTCCCCATGATCTTTACTTTCCCATATCTGAATTTCTTTCTCAAAATGTTGTTTGCCCAGAAATTTCCTTCAAAAAGAGAGAGCAAACTTTTATAGGAAGAACTATTATTTGCAAATGGTTAGTGTACCACGGAGCTGATGCTTTCCTTGGTTTATGGCTCCTTATGTATGAAGAAACACAAATATGAATTTATGAAATATGAAAATTGAAACAAAAATTCAGAGTAAAGTACCAAAACCTAGCTTCCTTTGTAGAAAAGAAAATGCTAGTGTATTGGAGTGTTAGTAGATTTAAGCCAAATTATCTATTTAATCTTGGAAAGTGAGACGCTCATTGCATTTTATTAAGTGAAAGCCTTTCCTATCTGGTCTTCTGAAGCAGAAAAATCATAGAGAAACAGTTGGAAAATGATTTAGAAAGTATGATCTTCTCCAACCCCTAAATTTTAAGCTTTCAGAGATTTTTGCTTATTAATTCATTAATTAGGGGGAGAGGCTGCTTCTGTATATTAAGTTAACTTTTTGCTACAAAAATTATTAGTTGTCATCTGTGTTATACAACCAGTAGGCACATATGGCCCTTGTTTCCAAGTGTTTAAAATATATCCCCTTTTTCCAGCAAAATCCAGTATATTTTTCTGTAGCCAGAATCTCAAATTTCCTTCCTGAATCCATTTAACTGATGCTCTCCTGGTTCTTTTTGATGACTCATCAGCATTCCATGTCTGCGTATCTAGATATGTGTATGACAATAAAGGAATTGTTTCTTGGTGATTGGTTCGTCTTGAAAATTTTTTGTGCACAGATAATGTTCAAATTGTTTTGGAAACACACTCCCAAATCAATTGCTACATAATCAAGCTGTATTGAGAAGTATCCCACCTGTCCCCTGTATTTATAAACATACACATCCACCCTAGATATGTTTATATTTCTGGATAAAATTGAAGGAATCTTGCAACACAGTGCAAATAATAAAGTTGGTTTCCACAATTGTGAACTTAATTATATTTCTCTCAAAAACAAAAGCCCTCATGTTAGCACATGGCAGTGTACAGTATTGTGAAAAGGCACACTCTCTTTAGCAGGTGCCTATTTATAAAACTTTTATTGGTATTAAGACATTTTTTATTTAAAAATATTTATTATGGTCATAATCATGGATATTTAAAATCCATAGATTATACATAATCTATACATAATGGTTTAATTTCCTGTTACATATTCTTTCCCCTAACACACATTACTTTTAGAAAATGCTCTTTATGCCGAAAGCTGTGACCCACACCTGTAATCCTAGCATTCTAGAAGGCCTAGGTGTGAGGATCACTTGAACCCATAAGTTCAAGACCAGCCTAGGCAATATAGTGAGAACTCATCTCTATACACACACACGTGAACACAAATTAAATTAGCCAGGCATGGTGGCACATACCTTTAGTCCCAGCTACTCGGAAGGCTGAGGTGGGAGGATTGCTTTAGCCCAGAAGATGGAGTTTGCAGTGTGTGAGCCGAGACCGCACCACTGTACTCCAGCCTGGGTGATAGAGCAAGACCTCCAAAAAAGAAAAAAAAAAAAAGACAGAAAAATGCTTTTTATTATAAAAATATTTGAACACACACACAAATGGAGAGAATGGTGTAGTGAACCCTAACCCACTTTCAGTGATTAAGAACACGTTTCAAATCTTGTTGTATTTATCTGTCCTTCCACTTTTTACTGAAGTATTTTAAAACAGTTCTATGTAAATGCCATTTCATCCATAAATGCTTGATTAAGAATCACTAACTGATGAGGAAAATTCCTCTATATATTGCCATCATAGACATACATTGTTACTGGATTTACTAGTTGCTATATTAGAAAAAGCATCACAAAAGACTAAGAATCCTGGAATCTTATTCCAACTCTATCAACATCCAATGTGTAGCTCCTCAGGGCCTCAGTTTCTCATGCTGTCAAATGAGAGAGTTAGATACAATCTCTAAGACACCATTAATCTCTGATATTCTGAGTTAAAATAACAAAAATAATTAAGTTTGAGAATTTTTATTTTGTATTTCTCTATTAGCTAGGCACAGAAAAAAGATTAGAACCTCCCATCTTTAAACAGGAACTGCATTGAGAACTCTAGTTAGAGGTAGAAACTTTAAAAATAGTAAAATAAGTTTCAAGCATGATTATTTCCATCTTCTGAGGAAACGTTTCCTGTAACTGCCTACACAGGAACAGCCAATAATTATTTTAAAACAATAATAATGTGGTTTCATCATTCTGACTGCCTTCCTACTTAAAGGGTTAGCACCAGCTTGACAGAGGCGCTCCTAAAGCCTGTGGCGCCCTCTTCTGACCCCTCACCCAACAGGGTAAGTCTTGGCTTTTGTTTCTGAACTATCTTCTGGTTTCAGGCTTTCTCATTGCCTTTATCTGTCATAATTAAGTCATGAAGCATTATGCAAAAATTCAGATCTGACTGGTGGGAAACACAGTTCTTATGAAATACATACGGCTACAGATCCATGCTGAATGCTTTATATTTTCTTAAAGGTTTCCATTTTGAAATTTGAGAATTATTCCAAAGAAGACAAGGTAACATTGAAAGTTGAAATGCGATAAAACTCTCGCTCAAACAAGGGCAAGCCTGTGTAAGAAAACCTTAAGAAAATAAGAAATAAGAAGTTTTCTGCTAAAACATCTAAATGAGTTGAAAATAAATAACTACTATATAAAAATTCAACATCAGTGCCATTAACTGTGTGCCTTATAGCAGAGAAGCTAAACAGGTTGCCCTTCACAGCTTAAACTCTGTATTTTATTTTCTTAGACCAGTGATACTTTTTTTCCCCCTAGAGACCTACCACATCAATATATGTAAATAAATTTAGTGTTCTTTGTTTTTATTCGGGCTGGGGGGAGGAGGAGGTGAAAACTACAGGGCAGGAGAAAAGGGATGGAGAACAAGTGACGTTTTTTTTTCTCAAACAGCAATTACTGCTTTGCTGATGGCAAGTTCACTCACTTGAAAGACATATCTTGAGTTCGTAACAAATACAGGATTGTTCTGTTGAACTCCAAAATGAGAATATTTCATTTGCTTTTACCACATAATGCACATCAGCATCAGGTGTGAGTGGGTCTGGCCATACTTCTCAAGGGTACAGGCAGAGATGAATGTGTGTGGCTCCCACAGAGTACTCTGCACTTTAATATTAGTCTATGATTTTCTGTTCAGAGACAGATGGTCTCTGAAAACTTCTAATGTTTTATCTCTCATCTTTCTCTATCACCAGCTCATGCTGGTTTTCTTCCTATTCCTCAAAATGTTGCTCAAGCGGGCTTTCTAACAAAATGTCACCCTCTCTACTTGCAACTCGTCCAAGCAATTCCCACCCCCATTACTTCAGGCCCATCACAAATCTTACCTGCTTAAGAAAATCTTTTTGAAATTTTTATTTTACACGACCCTTTCTCTCCTCTCGATTCCTATATCTAAAATTACACTCTTAAGAACTGCATTGTATTACCATGTTATGAAGGTGATTTTACAAACTGTAATTCTTGAAAAAATAATCTCAGTAGTCACTGTCTTTTCTTTGTTCTTACTGATAGCATGCTTGTATTCTGATTTGTTACCCCATCTGGGGCTTAAGCTTTAGATATACAGAAGAAGCATATCTGACCTATTTCAGTGTTTCTCATAGGACTCGGCTCACCCACCATTATCCCTGAAGTCCCAAGTTTCTTGCTGTTGGATCTTCTAGGAGCAAAATCTAGTTGACTGGGAAGTGAAACTTCTTAGTTAAACAAAACACTCAACTAGCCAAAGTAACTAGTCCCTGGCCACTCCTATTAGATAAATGCCATTTCCATGTCCATGTTTGCTGGCTGGTTTTAAAATTCAAAATGAAACAACTGGCACTTTTGGCTGCATAATTGCTTTGTATAAAATATTTTCATAAAAGCAAATCTTAAAGTCACCATAAAATAATAGTGTTTATTTCCTGAAAGCTGTTTATATTTGCTAAAAGAGGCACCTCATGGTTGGATTTTGCGCTGGAGCCAATAGAATCATTCACCAAAAGTTTGGCAAAATTAATTTGAATTTCTTGGATACCTTTAAATAGACAGTGCCAAGAAGATAATTAAAAATCATTGTTAAGATATTAATTTACAATGAAATGCAGCATGAAATTGAGTAGTTCCCTGCTATGCATCTGCCCTGTTTGTATCAAACTGACCTTTGGTATGTATCCCAGCTACAATCTTGCCATTGCTGTTAAAATAGTAGAAAAAGTTCTCAGAAACTCTACACTTTTATGCACATTGGAGACTAAGACAGCAGGTAAAATATTTATTTTCATTTGAAAAGAGATAAATATGAACAAAATTTATTTAAAATTGATCACTGATTACTGTGAAGAAGCACGTGTTTGTATGAATGACATTCATGTGTTTAAACACGAAGAGCAGGTGACCTATTTTAGAGACATCCCTTCCTTTCTCTAGAATAGTTCTTCTGTTTAGCTTACCAGTGGAGTAGTACTACTTCAGTGCCATGCACCTATCTATCTCCTTCCTGCTCTGTGACATGCTTTTTGAGATATCCTACTTTCCAGTCATCTAAGTTGATGCCCTATTCCTTTTTTTTAGATAATCTACATCATTTTATTTATGTTCTCTTTAGCACCTTTCATTACTTCAGGCAAATGTAGGCCACCCTACATCTTCTTTTCCAGGGTTTCTCAAGTGTAACAAAAAAAGAGAAACTGATAATAAAGCAAGAAGCTAGAAAGTACCAACTTGCTAATTTGTAGGGGTGTGACTTTTCCTTAGACAAAAAAAAAGACCTAAGGTATATTTACCATCTTTAGTAGATTAAGTTGAGACCTACAAACCATTGGTCAAGAGGCTAGGACTGCTTTTATTCATTTGTTCAATCATGCATATATTTATTATTGAAAACATGTGTTGAGTGCTTACTATGAGCCAGGTAGTGTTCTGAATAATGACACAGTAGTGAACAAACCATAACTCCTGCTCTAGTGGAGCTTACAGTATACTGTGGGAATACAGTAATTTTTTAATTCTAAAAATTAAAATAAATATTTAAATTAAAAATTGTAGTAATCTATCTTTAAATAAAAACAAGTTCTTGTGAGAAAGACTATTTTGGTGAGGCAGGGGTTTGTGGACTGGGTAGTCAGGGAAGTCTTATCAGAAGAAATGACATTTAAAATCATATTTGAAGAATTGTAAAGATCTAGGTAGATTATAGAGATGAGAATTGAGGGCATGACCATCACAGAAGGGAAGAGAGTGTTAAATGCTCTGAAATGACAAGAAGCTTGGCTATAGTGAAATAGGGAGAAAAAAGCACAATAAGAGGGAGGAAAGCATTGCAGGAGTGGGAATAATTCATGCAAAGTCATGGAGGTATGAAATTTATTGCCTGTTCATTCATTCATAGAAAAACTACTGACAGCCTACTAAGAGGCAGGCACTAGAGAGACAATTGCAAATAATTCACGATCTCAGTGGCTTTAAAGAGCTGAGAGTCTAGTGAGAAAGATAAGTAAAAATAAATGACTTCAATATAATATTACATAAATAAAATAGGATAATATAAAAAACTATCTTTGATGATCAAATATGTGCTTGCAAATGTCTATTGGAAGTGTGAAAGACAATTTGGAAAAAATGAATATTGTAGGCAGGAAGATCAGTTGTAAGTTTCTTGAAACAGTCAAGGTAAGAAATGAGGAGTTCCAGGATACAGATAACTTCAGTTAAAGGGGTTTGAGGATTTTTTTTGAGTCGGAATTGACAATAGTGAGTGATAGATTGAACCTTGGTAGTGAATGAGACCAGAAATAGAGAAGAAGTAAGATCAGGAATCTGAGGGAATAGGAAGTATCTCATGACTCCAATTTTTAACATGTGGGACAGACAGAATGGATATGCTATGAAATGAAGAATCAACTTGATGAAAAGTATCTTTGTTTAGATCATATTATTTGTATGTTTTGCTTAGATGATGTTTGGGTGTTTAGAAATATCCAGATGGTTGACTTATTTTTTATTTGTGAATTGGAACTTCCATGTCATATAAACAGCTACTCTTTTCTTCTTGCCCATGATTGCTATCTGCTGGAAGTGCTAATTATTTTGAATACCGACCAATAATTAATGGAAGGATAATTAGCAATAGACAAATGTAATGATATTCTAGTTTCATTAGTTCCAAATTATCAAAAGCTATGTTTCTTTAAATGTTACCACTATTTTGTTAATGGAAAAAAGCCTTATTCCCTTCATATTTTCAGCACCAACTATGGCTTTTCAATCTGTGACCCAGCTCTCTAAGTCAATTTCCCAGACACAGACAGCCTAACATGCATTTCATATTGAACATTTTTTTAATGATTAGCAGTTATAATAAATTATTTGATGCAAAATTGTTTTTAAATTATATCAGAATTTTTACTTTCAAAGCTCTAACATTTCCCCATCACAACAATTATTTAAATATTATTATATTTATGTAATAGAAGGATGGGTGAGGAAACCTAGAACTAGGAAAGAGCATATACAGATTTTCAGGAGATAACTAAACACAAATCTACTAGAAACAGTACAACTTTAGGAATGATAAATCTATTAACTTGAGTCAATTCTCTGGAAAAGGCATTAGATAATTTAAATTAAAATACAACAGACCTATTCATCAATTAGGAGATGTGCATGAAGTGATTAGAAAAGGGAAGTACGAGATCAGTTTTTCTCCATTTTAGCAAATTTATGTCTCTAAAGAAACTATACATTACTTTTATTACACAGCTTCATTTTTTTAAAAAAAAATTAGGATTTTATTCTACAAATAATAGTTTTTCATTACCAAAAGCCCAAGACTTTATGAGATACAGATCATGTCATGCAAATTTAATTTTATGATTAAGTAATGAGATACATAGATTTAAAAAGTGTCAATATGTGCTAAATTAATCATGCTTTTAGTAGATCTTTAAACCAGTCTTACAAAGTTTATTTAGATACATGTCGACAAAACATAGTTGACACTTTAGGACCACTCAAACATTTTCATTCAAAATTCAATGAATTTTTTTAAAATTTACTAATGTGTTGTGGCATACCTCAGAAAGAGGAGGAAAATAAACCATGCCGTATACAAAGAATAACTGTGCAAACATGCATAAACAGTGATGTTGTTACACACACACACACACACACACATACACACAAACACATTTGGAATACATCCAAAAGAAAAAAAATTATTATTTTTAAGCAGTTTGTATATTTACAGAGTCTAGAGTAGTTGAGACTTTCAGAATTTGCTCCAGATCTATTCTTCAATCAGGAGAACTATGAAAAAAGATTAGAAAAAAGAAGCATAAGATCATTTTTTCTCCATGTTAGTAAACTTAAGTCTCTAAAGACCTCTATATTGCTTTTATTACATTGCTTCATTTTTTTAATTTTAAGTTTTTTGTTCTACAAATAAAGTCCATTTTTTGATGAAAAATTAGGTAACGTAGATAGGCCAAAACAGAAAAAATTCAATAATATCCCCTACAAGATAAAACATCTCTTACTGTTTTGGTATTTTATTTTCTAGACTTAGTGAACATTTGTGTGTTTGTGTGCATAAAACAAAAATTAAATAACTTGTGTCATAATTGCATAATTTCGTTTCCCCACTCAGCAACATGTTATGAACATGTTTGTAAATCAATAAAGATATTGTCCCAGTTAATGTTAACAATCCAAATAAAATATATTATACCTAATAGGAATTAAATCTGGAAGAGGAATATTTTATAAACTTAACCCTTTTTCAGTAAAAATAAAAATGATATTCACTGATGTAAGCTGGTTTGATTAAGGGAGCAGAAAAATCATAAGAGCACAGCCAAGATAATGAAATGGGTGGTGAAAGGGTCATATATGAACACAAAATTTATCAACAGTGTGTGTGTGTGGTAGTAAAGGATAGAAATAGAAATAGAAGTGGGACATAAGATATAATTTGTGCTGGAAAAACTGTTGCTGATTTCTAATTTGGTAGACCACTGGGAGACAGGATAATAATGGGTAGAAGGACAAGGAACAGGAATTACCCTGATGACAATCAGTGCAGAGAAAAGCCTGGCAATGTATCTAAAGGGAAAGCCACAGGTGTTGACTGTGAAGTACTAGTCTAAATTAGCTAGATGTGCATACTGCAGAAACCACTTGGGAAAAAGTTATTATGGTTAAACATTGATTTGGATGTGAGTAGTTTTGGATTGATATGAAATTCTTTTTGCTTAATTTTTTGCATACTCTATTTTATGAAGACGTGATAGTACATTTGGAAATCTATACTATACCATATGATTTTGGTAGATTTAAAGGTAAACAGCCAGTACCTATATCTCGATACTTCTCTTTCTAGCCTGCACTTTAATCAAACAACAAATCCTGCTGGCTTTCCATTTCCATTTCTACTGTTTTTGTTCAGGAACTTACTATTTCTCACCTAATAGTTGCAGCAGTTTTATAGATGGAAGTCTCTACTACAAATGCTGTCCTTCATATTACTTTCAAACTTTGTTTACCTACTAGTGTATTAACCATTTATATACGGAATATGTTGCACAGACTTCATCAGCAGAATGTTTGCTTTCCATTTTGATAGTGCATTTTAACATACAGTAATTTAAAATTAGGTTGTAATCGAACCTAACAATATTAAGCTTTGTATTTTTCCCTTTCTTTCCCCACTCTGCTCACTACTTTTATGCTAGAAAGAACTTCTCCATGCCAAGGTCAGAAAAACATTAACTCATAATTTCTTCCACTACTCTATGGTTTAACTTTTAAGAATTCAATACTTTGGATTACATAGAATTTTATTCTTTTATTCTTTTTTAAGTTAATGATGACAATGAACCACATGTATAGCAATACTTTGATCAAGGAAAGACTACATAGCAGGAAAGTCAATAAGTAGTCTCAGAGTGGCCAAGTTATTACAGTTAGTCTTAAATATTTTTCTTTCAGTGAAACATATGACATGTAAGATCAGAGCAGAATGGAAGGAGATAGAGACATGAAAAACCTTTCAAGAAATCAATTAATCCAGGAGCTGGTTGTTTGAAAAGATCAACAAAATAGATAGACTGCTAGCCAGACTAATAAAGAAGAAAACAGAGAAGAATCAAACAGATGCAACAAAAAATGATAAAGGGGATAGCACCACTGATCCCACAGAAACACAAACTACCATCAGAGAATACTATAAATGCCTTTATGCAAATAAACCAGAAAATCTAGAAGAAATGGATAAATTCCTGGAAACATACACCCTCCCAAGGCTAAACAAGAAAGAAGTCAAATCCATGAATAGACCAATAACAAGTTCTGAAATTGAGGTAGTAATTAATAGTCTACCAACCAAAAAAAGTCCAGGAACAGATGGATTCACAGCCGAATTCTACCAGAGGTACAAAGAGGAGCTGGTACCATTTCTTCTAAAACTACTCCAAATAATAGAAAAAGACAGAATCCTCCCTAACTCATTTTATGAAGCCAACATCATCCTGATACCAAAACCTGGAAGAGACACAACAAAAAAAGAAAATTTCAGGCCAATATCTCTGATGAAACTCGATGCAAAAATCCTCAATAAAATACTGGCAAACCAAATCCAGCACCACATCAAAAAGCTCATCCAACATGATCAAGTTGGCTTCATCCCTGGGATGCAAGGCTGGTTCAACATACACAAATCAGTAAACGTAATCCATCAAGTGAACAGAACCAATGACAAAAACCACACGATTATCTCAATAGATGCAGAAAAGGCCTTCAACAAAATTCAACAGCCCTTCATGCTAAAAACTCTCAAAAACTAGGTATCAATGGAATGTATCTCAAAATAATAAGAGCTATTTATGACAAACCCACAGCCAAAATCATACTGAATGGGCAAAAACTGGAAGCATTCCCTTTGAAAAGCAGCACAAGACAAAGATGCCCTCTCTCACCACTCTTATTCAACATAGTGTTGGAAGTTCTGGCCAGGGCAGTCAGGCAAGAGAAAGAAATAAAGGGTATTCAAATAGGAATAGAGGAAGTCAAATTGTCTCTGTTTGCAGATGACATGATTATATATTTAGAAAATCCCATCATCTTAGCCCAAAATCTCGTTAAGCTGATGACAAACTCCAGCAAAGTCTCAGGATAAAAAATCAATGTGTAAAACTCACATGCATTCTTATACACCAATAATAGACAAACAGAGAGCCAAATAATGAGTGAACTCCCATTCACAATTGCTACTAAGAGAATAAAATACTTAAGAATACAGCTTACAGGGATGGGAAGGATCTCTTCAAGGAGAACTACAAACCACTGCTCAAGGAAATAGGAGAGGACACAAACAAATGGAAAAACATTCCATGCTCATGGATAGGAAGAATCAATATCATGAAAATGGCCATACTGCCCAAAGTAATTTATAGATTTAATGCTATCCCCATCCAGCTACCACTGACCTTCTTCACAGAATTGGAGAAAAACTACTTTAAACTTCATAAGGAACCAAAAAATAGCCTGTATAGCCAAGACAATCTTAAGCAAAAAGAACAAAGCTGGAGGCATCATGCCACCTGACTTCAAACTATACTACAAGGCTACAGTAATTAAAACAGCATGGTACTGGTACCAAAACAGATATATAGACCAATGGAACAGAACAGAGGCCTCAGAAATAACACCACACATCTACAACCATCTGATCTTTGACAAACCTGAAACAAACAAGCAATGGAGAAAGGATTCCCTATTTAATAAAAGACGTTGGGAAAACTGGCTAGCCATATGCAGAAAACTGAGACTGGATCCCTTCCTTATACCTTATACAAAAATTAACTACAGATAGATTAAAGACTCAAACGTAAGACCTAAAACTATAAAAACCCTAGAAGAAAACCTAGGCAATACCATTCAGGACATAAGCATGGGCAAAGACTTCCTGTCTAAAACACCAAAAGCAATGGCAACAAAAGCCAAAATTGACAAATGGGATCTAATTAAACTAAAGAACTTCTGCACAGCAAAAGAAACTATCATCAGGGGGAACAGGCAACCTTCAGAATGGGAGAAAAGTTTTGCAATCTATCCATCTGACGAAGGGCTAATATCCAGAATCTACAAAGAACTTAAACAAATTTACAAGAAAAACAAACAAACAAACAGCCTCATCAAAAAGTGGGTGAAGGATATGAACAGACACTTCTCAAAAGAAGACATTTATGTGGCCAACAGACATATGAAAAAAGGCTTATCCTCACTGGTCATTAGAGAAATGCAAATCAAAAATTACAATGAGATACCATTTCATGTCAGTTAGAATTGTGATCATTAAAAGGTCAGGAAACAACAGATGCTGGAGAGGATGTTGAGAAATATGAATGCTTTTACACTGTTGGTGGGAGTGTAAATTAGTTTAACAATTATGGAAGACAGTGTGGTGATTCCTCAAGGATCTAGAACCAGAAATATCGTTTGACTCAGCAATCCCATTACTGAGTATATACCCAAAGGATTATAAATCATTCTACTATAAAGACACATGCACAAGTATGTTTATTGCAGCACTATTCACAATAGCAAAGACTTGGAACCAACCCAAATACCTATCAATGATAGACTGGATAAAGAAAATCTGGCAGATATACACCACGCAGTACTATGCAGCCATAAATAAGGATGAGTTCATGTCCTTTGCAGGTACATGGATGAAGCTGGAAACCATCATTCTCAGAAAACTAACACAAGAACAGAAAACCAAACACCACATGTTCTCACTCATAAGTTGGAGTTGAACAATGAGAACACATGGACACAAGGAGGGGAACATCACACACTGGGGCCTGTTGGTGGGTGGGGAGCTAGGGGAGGGAGAGCATTAGGAGAAATACCTATTGTAAGTGGTGGGTTGATGGGTGCAGCAAACCACTATGTTACGTGTATAACTATGTAACAAATCTGCACATTCTGCACATGTACTCCAGTACTTAAGGTATTTAAAAAAATAAAAAATAAAAATATATAAAAAAAATTGTGCCCAAAAAAAACATATCACATGTAAAAGCATCTAAATAAGAAATGTGTATTTTTAATATTTTGTGCCCTTCCAGTTTTTTAGTAATTTAAATGAATGAGGTATTCTATAGTTCATTTTATAACTTTGTAGAGGTTGACACTGACAGACACAGTAGATTCAATATAATTGTGTAAAATAGTGATGCATAAATTGTTTTAACAATAATATACATATATCATAGTAAAATAAGGCATTCAGCACTTGAGAATATAATGTTTAAATAACATATCTCTGGAACTAGAACTTTATGAGCTGCTAATGGTCAGTGTATTATTCTATTCTCATACTGCTAATAAAGACATACCTGAGACTGGATAATTTATAAAGGAAAGAGGGCTAACTGACTCACAGTTTTACATGGCTGCAAAGGCCTCACAATCATGGTAGAAGGTGAAGAAGAAGCAAAGTCACGTCTTACATGGTGGCAACCAAGAGAGCATGTGTAGGGGAACTCCCCATTATAAAACCATCAGTTCTCATGAGACTTATTCACTATCACAAGAATAGTTCAGGAAAGATTCACCTACATGATTCAATTACCTCCCACTGGGTCCCTCCCACAAAAAGTGGTTATCATGGGAGCTACATTTCAAGATGAGATTTGGGTGGTCACACAGGTAAACCGTATCATTCCACCCCTGGCTCCTCCAAAATCTCATGTCCTCACATGTCAAAACCAATCATGCCTTCCCAACAGTCCTTCAAAGTCTTAACTCATTTCAGCATTAACTCAAAAGTCCACAGTCCAAAGTCTCTTCTGAGACAAGGCAAGTCTCTTCCACCTATGAGCCTGTAAAATCAAAAGCAAGTTAGTTACTTCCTAGACACAATGGAGGTATAGGCATCCCATTTGGAACATCTGTTCCAAATGGGAGAAATTGGCCAAAACAAAAGGGCTACAGGCCCCATGCAAGTCTGAAATTCAGCAGGGCAGTCAAGTCTTAAAGCTCCAAAATGAACTTAAATCTTTGACTCCACGTCTCATATCCAGGTCTTGCTGATGTGAGAGGTGGCTTCCCATGGTCTTGGGCAGCTCCACCCCTGTGGGTTCATCCTTCTCCTGGTTGCTTTCATGGGCTGGCATTGAGTGTCTGCAGCTTTTTCAGGTGCATGGTGCAAGCTGTCTGTGGATCTAAGATTCTGGGGTTTGGAGGGTGGTGTCCCTCTTTTCACAGCTCCACCAGGCAGTGCCTCAGTGGAGACTCTGTGTGGGGCCTCCTACCCCACATTTCACTTCTGCACTACCCTAGTAGAAGCTCTCCTGAGGGCTCTGCCCCTGTAGCACACCTCTCTCTGGACATCCACGTATTTCCATACATCCTCTGAGATCTAGACAGAGGTTCCCAAACCTCAATTCTTGACTTCTGTGCACCCGCAGGCCCAACACTATGTGTAAGCCACCAAGGCTTGGGACTTGCCTCCTCTGCATCAATGACCTGAGCTGAATGTTGACCCCTTTTAGCCATGGCTGAGACACAGGGCACCAAGTCCCAAAACTGCATGAAGCAGCAAGGCCCTGGGTCCAGCCCACAAAACCATTTTTTCCTCCTATGCCTCCAGGGCTGTGATGGGAGAGGCTGCTGTGAAGACCTCTGACATGCCCAGTAAACATTTTATCCATTATCTTGATGATTAACATTTGGCTCCTCATTATTTATGCAAATTTCTGCAGCTGGCTTGAATTTCTCATCAGAAAATGGTTCTTTTCTATCACACTGTCAAGCTGCAAATTTTCCAAACTTTTATCCTCTGCTTCCCTTTTAAACATAAGTTCTAATTCCAACCCATATCGTTGTGGATACATAAAACTGAATGCTTTAACAGCACCCAAATCACCCCTTGAATGCTTTGCTGCTTAGAAAAATCTCTTCCACTAGATACCCTAAATAACCTCTCTCCAGTTGAAAGTTCCACAGATCTCTAGGGCAAGGGCAAAATGCCAGCAATCTCTTTGCTAAACCATAACAAGAGTCACTTTCACTCCTATTCCCAACAAGTTCCTTATCTCATCTGAGACCACCTCAGCCTGGACTCCATTGTCTATATCACTATCAGCATTTTGGTCAAAGCCATTCAACAAGTCTCTAAGAAGTTCTAAACTTTCCCATATCTTCCTATCTTCTGAGCCCTCTAAACTGTTCTAACCTCTGCCTGTTATCCAGTTCCAAAGTCACTTCCACATTTTCAGGTGTCTTTACAGCAGTGCCTCACTAACCAGCACCAATTTACTGTATTAGTCTGTGCTCACACTGCTAATAAAGACATACCGAGACTGGGTAATTTATAAAGAAAAGAGGATTAATTGACTCATGGTTCCACATGGTTGGGGAGGCCTCACAATCATGGTGGATGATGAAGCAGGAGCAAAGTCACATCTTACATTGCGGCGGCATGAGAGTATGTGCGGGGAAACTCCCCTTCACAAAACCATCAGATCCCATGAGATTTATTCACTCTCGCAAGAACAGCATGGGAAAGACTCGCTCCCATGGTGCAATTACCTCCTACCAGGTCCCTCCAACAACACGTGGGAACTATGAGAGCTAAAACTCAAGATGAGATTTGGGTGGGGACACAGAAAAAACATATCAGTCAGTGACCATGTTTAACTTAACTTTATATCCCCAGCCCTATGGCACATTACCCTTCAACTGTTGATTCTAATAATTAAATGAAGTTTATTCTGAACATACTGCACACCTACTGACTTGGAAATTAATCAGGTTAATACTACTAATAAGCTGGCTGTAATTCAGTGTGTAGAAGGAGTAAACTAAGTTAGAAGGTCTACAAACAGATAATCTTTAATTTTTTAAAAAAATTCTGTATACTTATATATGATAGATTCTTCCTCAATGTGTACTGTTAGTGAGAGAGCAACAAAAGATTATGCCACAGTTTTCAACGAGACTGGACAAAGTGACTTTTAAAATATAATGAGCAATTAGAAATCCAGTTCAGAAACAGAACAAATAAATAGAATGAAAAAATAAACTTGAAGAATGAGTTCATGCTTTTGTTTTTCATTATAGAAATAGAAGTTTATTATGGCTTTTCAATGCCACCCTTTCCACAGAAAAAAAAAAACACATGAAATTCACTTCTAAATAAAATGCACATTATCTTAATATATATTGCCTATTCTAGTTTTAAAATCAGTACATGCTCACTGACAATCTAAAATGAAAAATTTGCAAAGTACAAAGTGGAAGTTTACAGAAATATGGTAAACCACCATTTCTGTAAACCATCATTTCTAAACAAATATTTTGTTGTATGCTTTATAACAAAAGGTGAAAAAAAAATCCCCATTCCCTTTCTACATTCCTCCTTGATCCTCCCCCAAAGGTGAAATACAACTCTAGTCAGATTCCAAGACACTTTGCATTATAATGCTACACCCGTTATGGAGCTGTTTTATATTTTCTTCTTCCATGTGATTATATAAAAGGACAGAAGGAGACCTAATTATATTTTCTTCTCTCAAATGGGTGCTGAAACTCCCTTCTCCTATTATCCCCATTACCCCACGTGGTCTACTAGAGTAACAGTAAGAGCTTAAGACAATGGTATGGGTTTAAAGAAATGAAGAGATAGGGTATTTGCTCCATATGAGCTCACTAGGCTCTACATATTAGAGATAGCAAACTTTAATCTAACATACAGGTTGCAACTTTCTTTCTGCTGAATTGCTCAGGTTTATTGGCTCTTTTTATTGTTCTAACAATTGGAAGTTATTCTAGTATTTTAACATACTTATGGGGGTATTTTTAAATACAACAAAATTCTATTATTGTCTTTCAAGATCAAAGATAAAATAGTATCTATCAATAGACTATAAGATGGAGATGTAAAGTGTTTTTTTCTTTATTGTGTTACATGTCTTCTATTTCAAGACTTATTTTTGAAATTGATATAAAGTTTTATAACTATATAAATGATTTTTTAAACATTAACTTTATATAGTTTTATTGTTTATAATTTTTCTGTTCTCATACTTGAGTTCTTTATTTTGATTGAAGTTTAATTTGATTTGACTTTAACTCCTGTAGTACTGGGAATGTATATTTTCTGTAACTTTCTTCTTTCCTCACAAGTATTTAGTAATTTGTCTCTTTATAGAATACTTGGGCCAACCTCTCTTTTCCCTAAAATTGTTGTATAAATTTCCCTATAGTCTTCCTTAGAGAAAAAAAACTATTTAGAACACTGTTGTAGAACTGGGAATACTAGGTCAAATGCAATAAACCCTTATAATACACTTACAACTTCTTGGTAAATTTATTTGTTATACCAATTTACATTCATACCAGTAGCATACAAGAATGTGAGCCTCACCACACAGTTATTAATGTTAGTCCTTTGGGTGAAGTTTTGAAAAGTTTTCAGTTTTTACATGAGTATTATTCACTTTTAAAAGTCCTCCCTTGGTCAATTTTAGTAATTTACACTTTCTCCAAAATTTCCATTCATCAAGATTTTATATTTTATTAGCATAGTGCTATATGCATTATTTCTTAATAATTTTTCTGGTTCCCCCATGTTTGTGATTATATCCCTTTCTCATTATACTGTTTATGAATTAGTTCTTTTTTTCTCTCTCTCTGTCACTGTCTTCCTCTCTTTTGCTCTTGTTGTGATTTGATTTAATTTTTCAAATGATTGTCCACTTTGTTTAAGGTTTCCAAATAACAACCTCTTGAAATTATTCATCTATTCTACTGTTTGATTTCTTCTTAATCTTTGATTTCTGTTTTTAATTTTTATTATTTTCATCTTCCTACATTTCTTGGCATCTCTTTGTGTTTTCTTTTTGATATTTGAGTTCAATTATTTTATTTCTTGTAATAATAAAGTGTTATTTAAAGGAAGTATAAAAAGTCTCAAGTTGCTACTTATAGCTTTGCCCTTACCCTTCAGTTTTAAACACTCAGTAGTTTTCTTATTACATAAATTATGATTACAGTTTTTACTTTTTCTTTGATCTAAGAATAATGGAATCTTTTAATAAGTTCAGTTTCTAATTGTAATACAGTTTACCAGAGAATATACACTGTAAATGGTTTCATTTTTGGAATGAATTGAGAGTTTCCTTGGGATCTAATACTGATTAGTCCTTGTAAATACTCCATTGATGCTTGAAAAGAACGGTGTCTTACTTTCATTTTTAGAAGACATAAGATAGAGTACAAATAAATATGTAGTTTATAATTTATATAAAATATTCATGAAGTATGGAAGTTTATATAATATATAACTTCATCAGCAAGTTTAAATATTTTCTAGCCTAATTCATTTTTTACCTACTTGTCCTACAAAAGAATGGTGTATTTAACACACACACACACACACACACAGACACACACACACACTTATATTTCTTTATTTACCAATTACAAGAAGATACAGTTTCTACTGAGTAGTTCCAAGGTTAAATAAAATAATTATATCACTTATATTACTTCTTTGCACGTCTCCCTGCTGATGTCTGGCTTTCTTGGGCTCATACGATAATCTAGGATGTGGGCCCATAATTATTATTTTTCACACTTAATTTCTCTTTTCATATATATATATATTATATATATATTATATACATATAATATATATATATAATATATATATATAATATATATAATATGTATATATTATATATATATATATATAATATATATATATATATATATAATTTTTTTTAGAAGGATTCTTGCTCTGTCGCCCAGTGGAGCAATCTCAGCTCACTGCAAGCTCTGCCTCCCGGGTTCACGCCATTCTCCTGCCTCAGCCTCCCAAGTAGCTGGGACTACAGGCCCCTGCCACCACACCCAGCTAATTTTTTGTATTTTTAGTAGAGACGGGGTTTCACCGTGTTAGGCAGGATGGTCTCGATCTCCTGTCTTTGTGATCCGCCTGCCTCGGCCTCCCAAAGTGCTTTCCAAAATATTTTTAACATTTATATAATAGCTCGTAACCATTTTTATCCCATTGTATGTTTATTTGATTTCAATGTTCATTGCTAGTTATCATATACTCTTATACCATAGCTCCCAATTCATGAAGGTTTTTCTTCTTACTCCACCAGCTGATATACATCTTTAAGTAATGTTTTCTTGTTTACTTTTCATTGTTGTTCATTTGTTTGAGAAAAACAAAACAAATTTAGCTGAAAGGCTGATACAAATCACTCGTTCATGTGTTGCTTAACTTGGAACTCATATAGAAAAGCTGCATGCACTTCTTGTAAAAACTACAAATTGACTACAGACCTACAGATGCCTACAAGAGATGATGAAGGGAAACATACAATAGACCAACTAAGGCCCAGAGGAAAAGCTGGGCTTGAAACCTCTGGGAAAGTAGGACATTCAAAAGTAGCCATGTATACAGAGAGAATTTAGAAAACTACACATATAATCGGGCAAGACATTCTCAGAAAATACCTGAGAAGACCTTAAGATTTCACATTGGGTTGATCAATACACTCAGAGCAAGCTTAGCTAAGTGTTGAAGGAGCACCACAGCACAGAGACAATCTTGAAAGAAAGGAAGAGCTTCTGGCATTCAAATAAAGTTCTGTCAAAACATTAGCTGAACACAAGATAAGGGAACAGAGACTTTAGTAATCACACATAACAGAAAACAGCCTTTTCAAATAATATTTTGAAAAGGTCTCAAAGTAAATGGTCCACTATAGCCTTTAACAATAGAAATAAAAAAACATGGGAAGGGAGATAACTGTATTTCAAGAATTGCCAGATTACAGTAGCCAAAATCCAATACTTAACAAAAACATTGCAATGCAAAAAAAGAAACAGGAAAGCATGACATAAGAAAACAGTGTAAACAGGCACCAACACTGAGGAAGTCTACATATCAGACTTTGTAAGAACAGACTTTAAAACAACTGTCTTAAATATGCTTACAGAGCTAAAGAAACAAATGATCAAAAAACTGGAGGAATTGGAAAAATAATGTGTGAACAAAATGACAATATCAGGAAAGAGATAGAATTATTTTATAAAAAACAGAAAAATTTGGAGCTAAGAAACAATAACTGGGGAAAAAATCACTAGATGGGTTTAGAAGAAGATTGAGAAGGCAAAAGAAAAATCAGGAAACTTTAGACAGGACAATTAAAATTATCAAGTCTAAGGAGCAGAAGAAAAATGAAAGAAGAAAAGTAAACGGAGCCTAAGAGACTTACAAGGCACCGTCAAGCAAATTAAAAAAAAATGCATTATGGGGATTCCAGAAAGAAAGGAGAGAAAAACAGTCAGAAAGATCAAAAAGTAGAAGAATTAGTGGCCAATATATTTCCTAATTTGATAAAAGACATAAATCTAAAAATTTAAGAAGCTACACAAACACCAAGTAAGATAAACACAAAAAGACACATACTGAGACATATTATACTCAAACTGTCAAAAGACAAAAAGAAAGTGAGAATCTTGAAAGCAACAAGATAGAAGCAACTCATCACCTACAGTAAGACTATCTCCTGATTTACCACCAGAAAGCTTAGAGGCCACAAGGCAATAGGGTGTTATATTTAAAGTGTTGAAAGAAGGAGATTTGGGCAAGATGGTCAAATAGACACATCCAGGTAGAAAAGCTAACACCAAGGGACCAGGACCACTGGCACACTCCTAGCAGACCTTCATAGGGACGGCACTGAGAATAGACAGAGGGAAGACACAGAAGCTGGGCTGAAGGGGGAGGAAGATGGGAACCCTGCAGAGGGCAGTCATGCATGGGAACTCATTCCTGGTCCCCAAAATCTCCAGGTGAATGGGTGAGTGGAATGGGCGAGGAGCAACTTGGCCTAGCCACAGGCCTCTATAATCAATGGGAGGAGAACCCTCCTCCCACCAACCAGCACGGACACTTGAGTTGGCAGAGAAAGCCAGAGAAATGGTGAGCCCAGAGAGTTCTGTGTGGTAGCATCTGTAGCAGAGCACAGTCAGGGATGCCCATCCCCCTAGGTTAAACGTGTTCCCCACAGGAGACTTTAGTCCTAAGGGAACAGTAGGACCTGAACTCTGCAGGGTGGTCTTGCCCATCAGATAGGACCTGTTTGACCTGAGCACCCCTTGGTTTGTTGGCCTCCCCCTGGACCCCAGCCTGTCCATGCCTGCTTGCAGTGTAATCTCAGGTGCCCTGGGGGCACACATCATAGCTTCTGTACTAGCCAATCGCACCAAATTGGTAAGGAGCTCCAGTGGGGAAGCCCCCGTGGTCATGCACCAGCCTGCCCACTTTATCTCATCACTACAGCTTCCCCCATGCCCATGGCCAACTCTACATTATTTTGCCAGTTCATGTGTGCACAAGTGGATTTTGCCTTCCCTTCCCTGCCAGCACACATGTACACATGCACCCTGTGATGCATAGCTGCCAATGGGAGTGCATTCCACCCTTCCTCTCCTGCCATATGACATTGCAGGCAGAGCCTTGGAGACACAGAGCACTCCAACCCTACACCTGTGCCAACACTGCTACCAGAGTGAAACTAAGCAAAGAGAACAATGGACCCTCCCCCACCCTGAGCAGCCACTGCTGCCTGCAGGAACGTGTGGGTGCACAGAGACCTGCGACCACCAGTAACCCACCGCCATGCTGGCACCACCACCAATGTGACCATGTGCATAGTAGACAGCAGGAGCCTCCTGCTCACTTCCCCACCAATTATGCTGCCTCTGCCACTGCTGTGAATGCCCGCACAGAGGCAGGCACCCTGGCACCTGCTAGCACAATGCTGAGGATGATAAGCATGCACCCTGCTGTGCTGCTGCTGCTGCTGCTGGCATGGGGAACAAAGACTAATTCTGCTGCCATCATCATAAAAAATACTTTGGCTAGCACCACCCATTGGATTGCTGTGTGCAGTGGTCTGGGACCACCTCAGTACCCCACCACCACCGACACACACCCCAGCACAATGGGTTCCTAACCTCAGTGAGCAAGGGAACAAAGTCAGGATCTGACACAAGTCCCCCACAGTTATAGCATGTGGTCCAGAAGTTAGAAGCTGAGCCTTGGCCCCATAAAATCTTCCAGAAATAAAGCCAGTCAATTGAACGCACCTTATACCACAATCAACCCTCAAGGTCATCAAATAGGATAAAAGGAAAAAAAATCCAAAGGACAGCAAATTTAAAGATCGAAGGAACACTAGCCCACAAAGATGAGAAAGAGCAAGTGCAAGAACTCTGACGACTGAAAAAGCCGTAGTGCCTTCTTTCTTCCAAACGACTTCACTAGCTCTCCAGCAAGGGTTTCAAATCAGGCTGAGATGGCTGAAATGACAGAAATAGAATTCAGAATATGGGTAAGAATGAAGATCATTGAGATGCAGAAGTATGTTGAAACCCAATTCAGGAAAGCTAAGAATCACAACAAAATGATACAGGAGCTGACAGACGAAATAGCCAGTATAGAAAATAAACAACTGGCCTGATAGTGCTAAAAAACAAACTGCAAAAATTTCATAATGCAATCACAAGTATTAATAGCAGAATAGACCAAACTGAGGAAAGAATCTCAGAGCTTGAAGACTAAATATGTGAAATATAGTCAGACAAGAAAAGAGAAAAAAATTGAGAAAAGTATTTCCACAATAGCAGATTGGAGGCAGTGTTAGCATTCCTGTCCCAATTGGAAACACAGAGTAATGTGTAGAGATTCACATGGTGAGCTTTTTTCCAAGAAACAATGCAGGAACTTAACAGAAAAACCAAAAGAAGCCACTAACCCTTTGAAAGAACTGGCACGCTGCAGCCTACTCTTTTAGACAGGTGAAAAACTGTAAGCCCCCAAAGTGTGAGAGGAGTAGAGACTGCCTCCAGGATGTACATCTCCATTCGGGAATCTGAAAATCCAGGCCACAGGAGAAAGCCATAATTCTGTGCAGAGCTGCAACTGATTTACAGAGTGGCAAGAAATATAAAAGTAAAAAGCAGCATGGGAAGTACCTGGCAGGCATTCCCAGTCTCCAGTGTGAACCAAGGGAAGCCATTCCTGATTATACCTCACAGAGGACCCAGGGGAATTCAGCCAACAAGCTCAGGTAGGGGTCACAGGGTGAAAGAAACTCAAAACTAAATTTCATAAATAATCTCGAGTGGAAATAAATTGTCTTGACCAGAACCCTGGGAGCAAGCAGGAAGTGTGCCACAGATGTAAGTGCAAGAGCTGGGTGCCCAGCCTTTCAGGAAGATGGGGAGAGGCATGGCCTAAAAGCCACGGTTGCTATTTCTGGGGAAAAAGTTTATGGCCTGGGGCAGGTCTCAGTTCTGTCTGTGGGCTGCCTTGATCTTAACCCGGTGCTGTTAGTGGAGCACTGGAGGAGTGAGATCTGCCTTGCCCACTGTGTGGGAACTGAGTTAGGTTTACTGACACCTGCTACTTCCTACTCCTTTTTTGAACTCTTCTGTGCAGCAGAGATAGTTATACTTGTCTCTACAACATTACCATAGCAGGCCAAGGACCAGCTCCCAACTCTCACAGCTTGCCCTCTTTGCGGAGAGTCAGGGCACAAACTCACCTAACCCTCCCCAAACCTGGTTGTGCCCCTTCACCCTCCTTGTTAGCTTAACACAAAGATCATGCATTTTTGTGAGTTTTATAGCCATCTGCATCACCAGAGAATCCAGAATACTTTTCCTGGGAAACTTAGGGCAAGCTCATATCCCACTGCTACTACTGCAGCTGGTGCTCTTCTGCAAGCATCACCTTCTAGCTGGAAGCCAACCAATACAGTCCATGACAGCTTCTCTAGATAAAATAACACTACATGCAGAAAGAAGCAAATGACTGCACGAGCTCAGCTATCACTAACCAGCATTTAAGAAATTCAGTACTCTAAGCCTATCTAAAACCAAGGGATCTTACAGAGTCTATGTCACTCCCTTGGCACTCCCATAAGAGCTGGTGCTGGTACCCACTGTTGGGAAAGTTGAGGATAAGTCACATCACCAGATAGATCCCTGGCAGACATTCCTCACCAGCAGCCCAGAGTGTGGCAGCCTCTTGGGTGGCTAGACCCAGAAGAGCAATAGGTAGTCTGGCTCTTAGGAACTCTTATTCCTAGGAAAGAGCAAGTGTACTACATCAAAGAAACACCCCATGGAACAAAAGAATCATGACAACAAGGCTTAAATCCTAGATATTTCTGCTAGAAGAAAGTGTTATTTATTTATTTATTAGCAGAGACACAATTGCAGTGCTGCATGCATCAAGTACATTGTTCACCTCTACCTAAACAGTCAAGCAGTCTCTGTGATCATGAAGGGTCTTGGAGAAGAGGTCCTTCTTTCCCCTTTATCCACCACTGCACACGCAGCTGCGACTTCTCCCACAGGAAGTCAGTGTGAATGCACCTAAAGATAGCCTTCCTGGAACAATTCAGGGTGATTGCATCCACACAAGAGGATCACTCCTCAGGTACACACTTGCATGAGAGGTAGAGTTACAATTTCTCTCTACTTAGAATATCAACAACCCTTCAGAAAAGGAGAGGTGCCTGTCTGATCTGAATAGCCAGAACACTGTCACAAGAGTGAGGCTGGGAGGTGGATAGCTTTTCTACTGGCTTGGCAGAGGAGCTGAAGTAGCTCTCAACCTCCACCTTGATAAAACCTCAGTGCATCTAGTTGAGAGCTCTCCCAGGCACCTTCATCCCTGCCTGCTTTAGCTACAACAGGTTCCTATCCAGGGATGCTTCGCCTACTGACCTGAAGCCTGAACCACCAACTCAATCAATAAAATACTGGGGAAAAAACAAATAAATAAGAGCACACCATAGGGGTATAAAATAAGTTTCAACAGATCCTTATCATTCTGAAACCATGGGAGAAAGTGAACTTTGCCTATACACCAAGTACATAACTATTACAACCAGAATCTGAGAAAGCAGCACAAAATGACTGTCTATAACTAAGTAACTCATACATAATCACCACCCCTAAAAGCACCAAGAACCAAATTAGGCAATAATAAACTATACATATTAAAGTCACAACCTTAAGAGAAAAAAAAGAAATTTAAAAAAACCACAAATCAAAAATAAATTCAAGGACAATTTGAAGAAATAGTCTACCCAAATGAGAAAAACACAGAAAAGTAATTCTGGTAATATCACAAAACAGGGTTCTATCACACCCCCAAAAGATCATGCTAGCTCCCTAGCAATGGATCCAATTCAAGATGAAATTTTTAAAAAAATACCAGATAAAGAATTGAGAAGGTTGATTACTAAGCTTCTTAAGAAGATACCATAGGAAGGTAAAAACTGACTTATTAAATTTAAAAAAATAATTTGGGACATTAATAAAAATGTTCAGAGGATATATATCATAGAGAAAAACCATCAGAGAGAAGAGGTAATGAATTCTGGGCTTAATACATAGGTGATGTAATGATCTGTGCAGCAAACCACCATGGCACACATTTACCTGTGTAACAAACCTGCGCATCCTGCACATGTACCCCTGAACTTAAAATAACAGTTGAAGGAAAAAAAAACACCAGTCAGAACTTCTGAAAATGAAAGGCACACTTAGGGAAATACAAAATGCAGTAGAAAGTTTTAAAAATAGACTAGTACATGTAGAAGAAAGAATTTCAAAATTCAAAGACAAGGCATTTAAATTAACCCAATCAAGCAAAGATCAAGAAAAAAGAATTTTAAAAATGCACAAAGTGTCCAAGAAATATGGGATTATGTAAAACAGCCAAACCTAGGAATAATTGGTATTCCTGAGGGAGAAGAGAAGGCTAAAATTTGGAAAATCTATCTAAGGGAATAATTGTGGAAAACTTCTCCGGCCTTGCTAGAGATTTAGATAGATATCCAAATACAAGAAACTCAAAGAACTCCTGGGGAATTTGTTGCAAAATTATTACCCAGGCATTTACTCATCACAATATCCAAACTCAACACACACACAAAATAATTCTAAAAACTGTGAGACAAAATCATTAGGTAACGTATAACGAAAAACCTATCAGACTCACAGCAGACTTCTCAGCAGAAACCTTAAAGTCAGAAGGGCTTAGGGTCCTATCCTTAGCCTCCTTAAACAGAATGATTGTCAGCCCAAAATTTTGTATACAGTCAAACTAAGCTTCATAAATGAAGGTGATATAAAGTATTTTTCAGACAAAAAATGCTGAGGGAATTTGTTACTACCAAACCAGCACTACAAGAAATCCTAAAAAGGAGTTCTAAATCTTGAAACAAATGCTCAATATGCATCAAAATAGAACCACTTGAAAGCATAAATCTCACAGAGCTTATAAAACAATAGCACAGTTTAAAAAACAAATAATCTAGGTAACAACTGGCATAATGAATACAATAGTACCTCACATCTTAGTGCTATTAACTTTGAACATAAATGGCCTAAATCCTCCACTTAAAATATACAGAATGGCAGGATGGTTAAAAAAAAAAAAAGAAGAAGAAGAAGAAACAACCAAGTATCTGTTCTCTTCAAGAGGCTGACCTAACACATAAAAATTCATATAAACTCAGGGTCAAGAGATGGAAGAAGTTATTCCACACAAGTGGAAACCAGAAGTGAGCAGAGTAGCTATTCTTATATCAGACAAAACAGACTTTAAAGCAGAAACAGAAAAAAAAGAAAGGACAAAGAAGAACATTATATAATGATAAAAGGATCAGCGCAACAAGAATATATTACACTCCTAAATTTATATGCACCTATCACTGAAGCTTCCAGATTTATAAAACAATTGCTACTGGACCTAAGAAGTGAGATAAATAGCAACACATTAATAGTGGGGAACTTCAATACTCCACTGACAGCACCAGACAGATCATAAAGACAGAAAGTTAACTAAGAAGAAAATGGATTTGAAGTATACCTAGAAAAAAATGAACTTAACAAATACTTACAGAGCATTATTCCCACAAATTGAACAATACACAGTCTTCTCATCAGCTTATGGAGCATCTTCCAAGATAGACCATATGTTCGGTCACAAAAATATCCCAATAAATTCAGAATATTGACCTCATATCAACTATCTTCTCAGAACACAGTGGAATAAAATGAGAAATCAACTCCAAAAGGAACCCTCAAAATTGTACAAATACATGGAAACTAAGTAATCTGCCCTTGAATAATTTTTGGGTTAACAATAAAATTGAGATGGAAATTTAAAAGTTCTTTGAAATGAATGATAATAGTGACACAAATTATCTAAATGCCTGGGATACAGTAAAAGCCATGTGAACAGGAAAGTTTATAGCATTAAATGACTACATTAAAAAGTCTGAAAGAGCACCAATTGACCACCTAATGTCACATTTCAAGGAACTAGAGGAACAGAAACAAACTAAATTCAAAGCCAGCAGAAGAAAAGAAATAACAAAGATCAGAGAAAAACTAAATAAAATTGAAACAAAAAAATACAGAAGATAAATGTAGCAAAAGTTGGTTATTGAAAAAATAAATGAAATGGATGGAGCATTAGTGAGATTAACCGATAAATGAAGAGAGAAGATTCAAATAAGCTTGATTAGAAATTAAACAAGAAACATTACAAATGATAATACAAAAAAAATTTAAGTCTACTATGAACATTTTTACACACACAAACTGGAAAACCTAGAGAAAACAGATAAAGTTCTAGAAACACAGAACACAACTGGAATAAATCAGGAAGAAAATAGAAACCCTAAACAGACCAATAACAAGCTGTGACATAGAATCAGTAATAAAAAAAAAAATTACCTACAACAAAAAGTCCAGGACCAGATGGATTCACAGCTGAATCTACCAGACATTCCAAGAATTAGTAGCAATCTTACTGAAACTATTCCAAAATATAATTAAAGAGGGAATCCTCCCTAAACATTCCATGAAACCAGTATCACCCTAATATCCAAACCAGAAAAGGACAACAACAACAACAAAAACTATAAACCAATATTTCTGATAAACATAGATGCAAAAGTTCTCAGAAAAATATGCTACCTAACAGAATTTGACAGAACATTCAACAGATAATATACCATGATCATGTTGGTTTCATCCCAAGTATGCAAGAATGGTAAAACATATGCAAGTCAATAAATGTGATACCTCACAAAAACAGAATTAAAAACAAAAACCATATGATCACCTCAATAGACAAAGAAAAAAAGGATTTGATCAAATCCAGCATCCCTTTCTAATAAAAATTCTCAAAAACTAGGTATAGAAGGGACTTACCTTAAAGTAATAGAAACTATATATTTCAAACCCACAGTCAACATCATACTGAATGGAAAAATTTGAAAGCATATTCTCCCTGAGAACTGGAACAAGACAAGGATTTCCACTTTCACCAATTCTACTGTTCACCACTGATGTGATTGTATACCTAGAAAACCCTAAAGACTCACCCATAGAGCTCCTAGATCCATAAAGGAATCCAGTAAAGTCTCAAGGGAACACTTTTATACTGCTGGTGGGAATGTAAATTAATACAAACACTATGGAAAATAGCATGGAGATTCCTTAAAAAGCTAAAAGAAGAACTACCATTTGATCCAGCAATCTCACTCCTGGGTAATTACTCAAAGGAAAAGAAGTTACTGTGTGAAAAAGAAATATGCACATGCATGTTTATAGCAAAACAATTCACAACTGCAAAGATGTGGAACCAACTTAAGTTCACATCAACCAATGAGTGGATAAAGAAAATATGATTGTATATACACCATAAAATACTACTCAGTTATAAAAATAAACAAAATAATGTCTTTGCAGCTACTTAGATAGAGCTGGAAGTTGTTTTTTTTGTTTGTTTGTTTTTGTTTGTTTGTTTGAGATGGAATTTTGCTCTTGTTGCCCATGCTGGAATGCAATGGTGTGATCTCGGCTCACCGCAACCTCTGCCTCCCGGGTTCAAGCGATTCTCCCGCCTCAGTCTCCCAAGTAGCTAGGATTACAGGCATGGGCCACCACTCCTGGCTAACTTTTTGTATTTTTAGTAGAGATGGGGTTTCTCCATGTTGGTCAGGTTGGTCTCGAACTCCCGACCTCAGGTGATCTGCCCACCTCGGCCTCCCAAAGTGCTGGGATTACAGGCGTGAGCCACTGCGCCCGGCCTGGAACTTGTTATTCTAAGTAAAGTGAGTCAGCAATGAAAAATCAAATGCCGTATGTTGCCACTTATAAGTGGGAGCTAAGCTATGAGGACACAAAGACATACAGAGAGATATAATGGGCTTTGGGAACTCTGGCAGGGATGCTGGAAGGAGGGTGAGGAATAAAAGGCTACATATTGGGTACAGTGTACATTGCTTGCCTGATTGGTGCACTATAATTTTAGAATTCATCCCTAAAGAACTCATTCATGTAACCAAAAACCACCTGTACCCCCAAAAACTATTGAAATAAAAGAAATAAAAAGAAAACAAGTTTTAAAAAGAGAAAAAAATAAAGAGGAATGAACAAAATGTTGGAGAAATATAAGATTATGTATAGATCAAATCTACCTCTATTTGGTGTCCTGAAAGAGATGAGGAGAATGGGACAAACTTGGAAAGCTTATTTCAAGATAACATTCCTGAGAACTTCCCCAATCTTGCTAGAGAGGCCAACATTAAAATTCAGTAAATGCTGAAAACTCCAGTAAGATATTTCTTAAGAAAATTATTCCCAAGATATATAGTCATCAAATTATCTAAGGTCAAATGAAGGAAAAAATTTTATAGGCAGCTAGAGAGAAATGTCAGGTCACCTACAAAGAGAATGGCATAAGACAAAAAGTAGAACTCCCAGCAGAAACTCTAAAAGCCAGAAGAGATTAGGGGCCAATACTTAACATTCTGAAAGAAATTCCAACAAGGAATTTCATATCCAGCCAAACTAAGCTTCATAATTGAAGGAGAAATAAGATATTTTCCAGACAAGCAAATGCTGATGAAATCCATCACCACCAGACCTGCCTTATAAGAGCTCCTGAAGGAAGCACTAAATATTGAAAGGGAAGAACTTTATGAACCATTTCAAAAACACATTTAAGTACACAAAGCAGTGACACTATAAAGCAACCACAAAAATGTCTGCATAATAACCAGCTAACATCATGAAGATAGGATCAAATCTACACATATCATATAAACCTTGAATGTAAATGGACTAAATTCCCCAATTAAAAGGCACAGAATTACAAGCTGGTTAAAGAACCAAGACCTACTGGTATGTTGTATTATTCCGTTTTCACACTGATATAAAGAAATACCCAAGACCAGTTAGTTTGTAAAGAAAAAAGCTTTAACTGACTCACAGTTTCACATAGCTGGGGAGGCCTCAGTAAACCTATAATCATGGCAGAAGGCAAAACAGGAACCTTCTTCACAAAGTGACAGGAGAGAGAAAAGAAGAGCAAAGAGTGAAGGGGGAAGAGCCCCTCAGGAAACCATCAGATCTCATGAGAATTCACTCACTATCATGAGAACACCATGAGGGAAACTGCCCCAATGATCCAATCACCTCCAACCAGGTCTCTCCCTTGATGCATGTGGATTATCTCTCCAAGATAGAACATGTCTTAGGCCACAGAACAAGTCTTAATTATTATTTTTTTAGTTTTAAGTTATATGTAGTAATATTTTTGCTCACAAGAAAACTAGAAATCTATAACAGAAGGAATACTAGAAAATTCACAAGTATGTGGAAATTAAACAACACACTAAAAGTTTAAATGGATACAATTAGAAATTACAAAGAAAATTTAAAAATAACTGAGATAAAATGAAAACACAAACACTAAAATTTATGAGATGTAGTGAAAGTAGTGGTAAATGCAAAATTTATTGCAGTAATGACTACATTCTAATGCAAGAAAGATCTCAATTCTTTAACAACTTTACGCCTTGAAGGAACTAGGAAAAGAAGAGCAAATAGTTCAAATGTATTAAAAGAGGAAAACAATAACAATAGATCCGAGATAAATAAACAATAGAGGAACATTGGAGACCTATTGGAAGATAGTCAGCTAGATGCAGCCGGGAAGTGCCACTCCCACAGAGATTGGGATTTCATTTAATGTACATAATTTGAACAGATCTCCAGAAGGAATATGATCAATGTGGATGGATAAAATATGCAGATGCTGAGGCTAAATATGAAGAAAACTTGGAAGCCTGCCTGAATGCCAGGGCTCATCCCTGGCCCCGAATGGCACCTAGGAAAGGGGTAAGTGAAGAGACTGAGGGAATTCCCACTTTTGCTGTGGACCTCTGGGATCCTAGCTTCAGAGGATTCCTGCAGCATCCACAGACATTTTAGCTGGCAGGGGGATCTCCTCAGAGATTAGGCAGAGATGAAGCTGCAGCAGGCACAGAGCCAGGGACATTTGGGCATGGGACAGCTCTAGTAGAGCCCAGCAATAAGGGCTGACCCCCCAGGGATGCTCATCTCCCTCTGAGAGGCTCTGGTCCAAGCTAACTTCCAGGGAGAAATAAGGGACTGCTTCCTCTTGGGACTGAGACATATCTGAGCTGCAGGCCTACCAGAACCTTCCAGAGCTTCTGCCTGGTCACTCCACAAGAATGTGTACACAGTGCAACCTCTGCTGCCCATTCTGTGTGCTTTGCTCCACCTGGTTTAGTTCCAGCAGTCTGGGAGTCCTTCAGATACCCCAACACACCTAGAACCTATCCCTGAGTGTTGGTAGGAAGGAACCATGAGCAGGTCCTTGTTACCCAGGGCTGTAGCTTGTGGCTCAGGAGTGCCAAGCCAGGAATCTGTGTGCAGCATTTGAGTAGAGTAGGAGCCCACACTCTCAGAAAAATAAGAGTGGCGAGTTTCACAGTTTCAAGTGCTGATCTGGGACTTAGGCATGCCTCCCTCCACAGTGCTGGTCTAGTAGGAGAGTGGGCTATCTCTCTACTGAACCTCTCTACAAGGGAGCCCCATGGCCCTGAAGACCTAACAACAGCAACAACAACAAAATTGTGGGTACAGTGCCAATGATCAGAGGTGGGTTCCCCAAGGCCTAAGAGCAGAACTGGTGAGGAGGTCACTTCTATTCATCTCACACCACAGAAAACAACTGAAAATTCAAGTATACACAAATGAGCCATGTGGCTGAGTAAGAGCCTGTCTACTGCCAACTGTTCACAAGTGCCATTTACTGGATCGCTGCCCAAACTACAACACTAAAAATGTTTACTAATTCTCCCCACTCTGTGAAACCAAAAGCAAAAATTTGACTACAAAGACCCTATACAGAACTTTAATGCTCTGAAAACTACCAAAAATGAAGCCAACTGACTATACTCCCATTTACACCAAAATTAAAGGAATGACAACATTCCCAGATGAGAAAAAGTCAGCACAAGATCTTGAGTAATTTAAAAAGCCAGTATGTCCTCTTAAAACGAGCCCACTAATTCTGCAGCAATGCTTCTTAACCCGCCTGAAATGTCTGAAATAACTGACATGAAATTAAAAATGTGGATGGCAACGAAGCTCATCAAGATAGAGGAGAAAGTTGAAATTCAATTCAAGGACACCAAGCAATAGAGTAAAATTATTCAAGAGCTGAAAGACAAGATAGCCATTCTAGGAAAGAACAAAACTGAACTTCAGGAGCTGAAAATTTTACAACAAGAATTTCACAGTAAAACTGGATTTATTAACAGCAGAATAAACCAAGTTGAGGAATTAATCTCAGAGCTCAAAGACAAGTTATTTGAATGGACAAAAAATTTTTAAAAATTAAGAAAAATGAGAAAAACTTCCAAAAAATAAAATATGGAATTATGTAAAGAATCCAAATCTACAACTTGTCAACATTCCTGAGAGAGGAGGAGAAAGTACAAGGAACTTGGGAAATATATTTGAGAATTAGGTCCATGAAACTTTATTATCTCATTAGAGAAACTGAAAAATCCATGAATTACAAAGAACTCCGGACTGATTTTATACAATATGACCATTCCCAAGGTACATGGTCATTATATTTACTGAAATCAATGCAAAAGAAAAATTTTAAGGAAAGCTAGAGAGCAGGGCCAGGTCACTTACAGAGGGAACTCAACCAGGCTAGCAGTAAACTTCTCAGCAGAAATATTACGCTTGTAGAAAAAAATGGGGCCTATTTTCAGTATCATTAAAAGGAAGAAATTCAAGAAAGAATTTTATATCTCTCCAAACTAAGCTTCATACGTGAATGAGAAATAAAATTCTCCTTGGACAGCAAATGCTGAGGGAATGTATTTCAACTAGATTATTCTTACAAGAGATCCTTAAGGGAGTGCTAAACATAGAATAACAAGAATGACACCTGCTACCACAAAAGCACACTTACGCATATAGCTCAAAGTACTGTGAAGCAACTATGCAATCAAATCTACATAACAGACAGCTAACAACAAAATGAAAGGATTAAAATTATGGTTATTAATACTAACCTTTAATGTAAATGTACTAAACAACCCATTTGAAAGAGATAGAGTGGCATGCTGGATAAAAATAGAAGACCCAACCATCTGTTGTATTCAAGAGACATATTTTACATGTAAAAACACCCATGAGCTCAAGGTAAAAGGGTGGAGTAAAATCTACCATGCCAATGGAAAACAGAAAGAGCAGGAGTCACTATTTTTATGTCAGATAAAACAGATTTTAAACTAATGTAAATGAAGAAGGACAATGAGGGCCATTACATAACAAAAAAGGGTACGATCAAACAAGAGGACTTAACTACCCTAAATGTATACATAGCTAACATTGGAGCACCGAGATTCATAAAACAAGTTCTTCTTGGCCTATAAAATACTTAGACAATCACACAATAGTAATAGTAGACTCCAGAACCCCACTGATGGCATTAGACATATTATTATGGCAGAAAATTAACAAAGGAAGTCTGGACTTAAACTTGACACTTACCTAATAAACATGTTACCAGTTGAAGGTATCTGATTTACAGGTAGCAAATTAGTATAGGTCTGCAGCAACCTCAATTCTTGCCTCCTCAGAAGAAATAATTCGCCTGAAGAGCATAAGGCAGAAAAAGAGACCAAGGCAAGTTTCAGAGCAGGAGTAGAAGTTTATTAAAAAGCTTTAGCACAGGAAAGAAAGGAAAGTGCACTTGGAAGAGATCCAAGTGGGCAACTTGAAGAAACAGTGCAGTGTTTAACCTTGATCATAGAACTTTATACTTGGGAAGTGAGCATGTGCAGTGTGTTTAGGAAGTTGTACACATGCCCATCTGAGGCTTTTCTTTGCTTTTCCGGTGGAGTGTCCCTGGGAGGTCATACTCCATCATTGTGCTTCTTAATGCACATGCCCAGGCTCACTCATCCAATACATGAGATTTTATTGGAATCCTCCCTTCTTCCTGGCACCTGCATTCAATTAACACTGTAATGTTAACAGCTGTGGACCATTAGGAGATTGTCTTTCCCTGAGGCCGGCTGTCGATTATCATTTATAGAGGGTCAATGGGATAATTTTCAAACCATCACCTGATCATTTGACATTCCTGGTGTGTGAAGGGTAGGGGGGCCCTTCTCCTGCCACTCTAATGGCTATCTGTAACAAACATATACAGTACACTCCACGAAACAACCTTAGAATATAAATTTTTCTCATATGCTCATGGAACATATTCTAAAATCAACTATATGCTTGTTCATAAAACAAGTCTCAGTGAATTCAAGCACAATCTCAAACAACAGTGTGATAAAAATGGAAATCAATATCAAAGAGATCTCTCAAAACTACAAAAATCCATGGAAATGAAACAACTTATTCTTGAATAAAACCTAGGTGAACATTGAAATTAGGGCAGAAATCAAAATATTCTTTAAAATTATTGAAAGTAGAGAAACAGCTAACCAAAATCTATGGGATGCACCGAAAGCAGTGTTAAGAGGAAAGTTTATAGCCCTAAATGCCTTTATCAAGAAGACAAAAATATCTCAAATTAACTCTCTAACTTTGAACTTAATGAAACTAAAAAAAATAAATAAACCAACACTTAAGCCAACAGAACAAAATAAAAACTAAAAATAGAGAAGAAATTAATGAAATGAAGATGCAAAAATCCATATAAAAGTTCAGTAAAACCAATAGTGGCTGATTTGAAAAAATGAATAAGATTGTCAGACTGATAGCTAAACAAAGAAAGAAAAGATCCAAATAAACACAATCAAAAAAATTGATGAGTTAATGGGTGCAGCACACCGACATGGTACATTTATATGTATGTAACAAACCTGCACGTTGTGCACATGTACCCTAGAACTTAAAGTATAATAAAAATATATATATATATAAAAAGACAAATGTGATATTATAACTGATCTCACAGAAATACAAAAAATCCTCAGGGACTACTATGAACTACTCTATGCACACAAATTAGAACATCTGGAGGAAATAAATAAATTCTTGGAAGCATACAATCTCACCAGGTTGAATCAGGAACACATTTAAACCCTCATTAGATAATTATCAAAATTTGAAGTTGAATCAGTAATGAAGAAACTACCAACCAAAAAAAGTCCTAGACCAGATAGATTCACAGCCAGATTTTACCAGATATATAAAGAAAAACTAGGCTGGGAGCGGTGGCTCATGCCTGTAATCCCAGCACTTTGGGAGGCCAAGGGGGGTGGATTGCTTGAGGTCAAGAGTTCGAGGCCAGCCTGGCCAACATGGTGAAACCCTGTCTCTACTAAAAATATGAAAAATTAGCCAGGCATGGTGGCACATGCCTGTATTCCTAACTACTCAGGAGGCTGAGGCAAGAGAATCACTTGAACCAGGGAGACAGAGGTTTCAGTAAGCCAAGATCACGCCGTTGCACTCCAGCCTGGGAGACAGAGAGAAACTCTGTCTTAAAAACAAAAACAAAAACAAAAACAAAACTAATGATAATAATCATACTAAAACCATTCCAAAAAAGTGGGGAGGAGGATCACCTTCCTAACTCATTCTAGCAAGCAAGTATAAGGCTAATACCAACATGTGGCAGAGACACAACAACAAAAACTTCAGGTCAATACCACTTATGAACATAAACACAAAAGTCTTCAACAAAATATTAGCAAACCAAATTCAGCTGCACATCAGTGAATATACTATGATCAAGTAGACTTTATTCCTGGGATGCAAGGCTGGTTCAACATACACAAATAAAGTGATTTAAGACACAAGCAGAATTAAATAAAAAAAAACAAGTGATCATCTCAATAGATGTAGAAATTTTTTTTGATAAAATTTAACATCCCTTCATGATAAAAACCCCCAACAGACTAAGCATTGAAGGAACATACCATGGAATACTAAGAGCCATCAAAGACAAATCCACCGCCAACATCATATTGAATGGGCAAAAGCTCAAGCCATTCCCCTAGAGAAATGGAACAAGACAAGAAGGCCTAATCTCACCACTCATATTTAACCTAGTACTGGATGTCTTACTTAGGAAAATCAGGCAAAATAAATAAGCAAATGCATTCAAATATAAATAGAAGAAGTCAGACTATCTCTACTTATGGATAATATAATTCTATACAAAGAAAATTCTAAAAACTCTACCAGGGGGCCCCTAGAACTGATCAACTACTTTAATGAAGTTTCAGGATACAGAACCAATGTATAAAAATCAGTAGCATTTCTATATACAAAAAAAAAAGTTCAAGCTGAGAGTGAAATCAGGAACCCAATCCCACTTACAATAGCCACAAGGAAAATGTAATACCTAGGAATACAGCTAATCAAGGAGGTAAAAGACCTCTACAAGTAGAATGACAAAACATTGCTAAAATAAACCAGATAATGCAAATAAATGAAAAACATTTGTTGCTCATAAATTGGAAAAATAAGTATTTTACAAATGGCCATACTGCCCAAAGCAATTTAAAGATTCAATGATATTCCTATTACTATTCCAATGTCATTCTTCACACAATTAGCAAAGGGTATTCTTAAATTTATATGCAATCAAAAAGAGCCTGAATAGACAAAACAATTATAAGCTAAAGTATAAAGCTGGAGGCATTGAAATATCTGATTTCAAATGATACTATAAAGTCACAGTAACCAAAAGAACTTGGTACTAGCAAAAAAAAAAAAAAAAAAACCAGATGAATAGAAAACTGAGAAATAAACCATAAACCTAACACCATCTGATCTTCAACAAAACCAACCAAAACAAGCAATGAGGAAAAGACTCCCTATTCAATAAATTGTGCTTGGATAAATCCAATAGCATAATATTAAGCCATATGCTTAATATTGAGCCTTAAGCCTTCCTTTTCCCCATATACAAAAATTAACTGGAAATGGATTAAAGACTTAAATGTAACACCTAAAACTGTAGAAACTCAAGAAGAAAAGTTAGGAAATATCATTCTGGACGTGGGACCTGGCAAAGATTTGATGATGAAGATGCCAAAAGTAATTGCAAAAAAAAAGCAAAAATTGACATGTAAGACCTAATTAAACTGGAGAGCATCTGTACAGCAAAAGAAACTATCAACAGAGTAAACAGACAACCTACAGAATGGGAGAAGATATTCACAAACTATGCATCTGACAAAAGCCTAATATCCAGAACCTATAGAGAACATAAATCAACAAGCTAAAAACAAATAACCCCACTAAAAAATAGGCAAAGTACACAAACAGACACTTCTCAAAAGAAGACATACATGGGGCCAACAAACATATAACCAATTCTCTTTATTTCTAATCATCAGAGAAATGTAAATCAAAACTATAATGAGATGCCATCTTACATCAGTCAGATTGGGTGTTATCACAAAGTCAAAAAATAACAGATACAGGGGAGGTTGTGAAGAAAATGGAACACTTATACACTGTTGGTGGAAAGCAGTTTAGAGATTTTTCAAAGAACTTAGAACTAACATTTGACCTAGTGATATCATTACTGGGTATACACCCAAAGAAATACAAATCATTCTACCATAAGGACACATGCACACAAATGTTCATTACAGCACTATTCACAATAGCAAAGATGTGGAATCAAAGCAGATGTCCAAAAGTGGGATGAATAAAGAAAATATGGCATGTAGAAATACTACACTACCATAAAATAGAACAAAATCATGTCTTTTGAAGCAACACAGATGCAGCTGTAGATCATTGTCTTAAGCGATTTAACACAGGAGAAGAAAAACAAATATCACACGTTTTCACTTATAAGTGGGAACTAAATATTGAGTACACATAAGCTCAAGGAAGGAAACAATGTACACCAGGGTCTACTTGAAGGTGAAAGGTGGGAGGAGGGGGAGGATTGTAAAACTACCTATCGGTTACTATGCTCATTACCTTGGTGAAAAAATATTCTGTATGTTAAAGTTCCACGACCTGCAACTTACCCATATAACAAAACTGCGCATGTACCCTGTGAACCTAAAATTAAAGTTGGAGACAAAAAATAAAAGAAATGAAATTGGGAACTGATATGGCTTGGCTCTGTGTCCCAAATAAATCTCACCTTGAATTGTAATAATCCCTACTTGTTATGGAAGGGACTTGGTGGAAAGTAATTGAATCATGGGGGAGCTTTTTCAGATGCTGTTCTCATGATAGTGATTAGAGAAACAGACTACAACAGGGGCATTGCTCCTGATTTTAGAGGAATAAAAAAATGACAAAAGGAGAATACTATGAATAATTGTATTCACAAAAACCAATTTAATGTAAATAAATAAATTCTAGAAAATGCACTCTATTAATACTGACTCATGAAGAAATAAGAAAATATCTGAATTCACCTGAGAAAAGTAAGGCAATTGATAAAAAAGCTCTCAAAAACAACAACAACAGGAACATATGATTTCACTGGAGAATTCAATCAAACACTTAAATAATTAACACTAATATTTCTCAAAAAAAAATTTAAGCGAACACTAAGAGCCTCATTCTATGAGGCCATTATTACCCTGAAAACAAACCAGACAACATCACAAGGGAAAAATTATTACAGACTAATATCCATTATGAATACTAATACAAACTACTTCAACAAAATATTAGCAAACTGAGGTTCTCTGTTAAAAGAAAACATAGAGAAAATATTTTTGACAGATTTGTAATCATGTATTGGATATGACAAAGGTAGCAAGAGAAAATAGATAAACTGGATTTCATCCAAATCAAAAACTTCTCTCCATCAAAGGGCATTATTATTTAGTTGTGAAAAGGCAACCTATAGAATATGAGAAAATATTTGCAAATGATATATTTTATGAGACATTAATATCCAGAGTATTTAAAGAACTCCTGCAACACAACAAAAAGAAATAAATAAAGCGACTAAACTCAAAAATTGGTAAAATCTTGAGTAGTCATTTTTAAAGAAGGTACACAAATGGCCCATAAGAAAGTTTAAATATTTTTACTATCAGTAGCCACAGCAGGAATCCAAATAAAAACGATAAAATACCACTTCACAACACTTAGGAAGGTGAAAATTAACTACTGTTGTTAATAACTTGGAGAAATTGAAAATCTTAAGATTTCTGGTAGGATGTAAAATATCAGAGAAAATGTGTAAAATTGTTGATTTCTGAAAATGTTAAACACATAATTACTATATAGTGTATAAATTACACACCCAGGTATATAACACTCAAAAGAATTGAAAGCAGGAACTAAAAGAGATATATACAGAGTAGTGTTTGTAGCAGTTTGTTTTACAATAGCCAAAAGGAGGAAACAACCCATATTTCTATCAACAGATGAATAGATAAAACATTCATGATATAAACACACAAAGGGATACACATACAATAAATATACACATACAATGGAATATTATTCAGCCTTGAAAATAATGAAATCCTAAAAGATGCTTCAACATAGATGAACCTTGGAAACATTATGCTGAGTCAAATAAGCCAGAGACAAAATGACAAATATTAAATAATTTCACATATATAATGTACCTATAATAAGCAAATTTATACAGTTAGAAAGTAGATTAGCAGTTAGTATGGGATATGGCAAGGGAGGAACGGAAAGTCATTGTTTAATGGTTACACAGTATTTGATTAGGATGGAGAAAAAGTTCTAAAAATGAGTAGTGGTATGGGTTGTATAATGTTTTGAATGTATTTAATGCTACTGAATTATGCACTTAAGAAAAATGGAAAATGTTATGTTGTGCATATTTTACCAAAATATTTTTTAAATTAAGGCAATCAGGGAATTGTGAACACAATATGTGGTGGTATTAAAAACTTCTAGCGTTAGAGTAGGGGTGAAGCAAGATGGCTGCTATGGTTTGGCTGTGTTCCCACCTAAATCTCATGTTGAATTGTGACTCCCATGATTGTCCTGTGTTTTGGAAGGAGCCCTGTGAGAGGTGATTGAATTACGGGGGCAGGACTTTCCCGCACTGTTCTTGTGATAGTGAACGAGTCTGATGAGATCCGATGGTTTTAAAAACGGTAGTTTCCTTGCACAAGTTCTCATTTTGCCTGTTGCCATCCACGTAAGATGTAACTCGCTCCTCCTTGCCTTCTGCCATAATTGTGAGGCCTCCCCAGCCATGTGGAATTGTAAGTCCAATACACCTCTTTTTTTTGGTAAATTACCCAGTCTCAGGTATGTTTTTATCAGCAGTGTGAAAACGGACTAATACAATGGCTAAATAGAAAACTGCACTGATTGTCCCCTTTCTCCACAAGGACACCAATTTAACATCTACCTACAAAACAAACAAACAAACAAACAAAAAAAACACCTTTGTAAAACCAAAAATCAGATGAGCATGCACAGTACCTGGTTTTAAGTTCATATCACTGAAAGAGACAGAGAAGAGGGTAGAAAAGACAGTCTTAAATAACTGATGCCACCACTCCCTCATACCATGGAAGCCACCACATGATGCAGACAGATATTCTGTTCATTTGTTTGGGATAGGGAGAGTGCAGTAATTGTAATAAATTGCATTGAACTCAGTGCTGCTGTGTTATAGCAGAAAGCAAAACTTGGTTGAACTTAGCTGACTTGCACCCATGGAGGGAATATTTAAAACAGTCCTAGCCAGAGGGGAATCACCAATCCCAGCAGTCAGAACTTGAGTTCCACCAAGTTTGCCACCACAGGCTAAAGTCCTCTGGAGCCACAAATAAACTTCAAAGGCCATCTAGCCCACAAGAACTGCAACTCCTAGGTGAGTGCAAGTACTGTACTGGTCTCAGGGTTAGTGGACTTGTGGGGCATGCGACCTACTGAGTCACGAGCAGGGAAGCTGAGAAAGTGCTTTTGCCAACCTTCCACCAACTCCAGGCTGCACAGCTCACAGCTTCAAAAAAGACTCCTTAATTCTACTTGAGGAGAGAAAAAGGAAGAGTAAAAATGACTTCGTCTTGCATCTTAGACACCAGCTCAGCCACAGAAGGATAGGGCACCAGTCAGGGTCGTGGGGTTCCCTTTCCAGGACCTAGCTCACAGATAACATTTCTAGAAACACTCTGGGCCAGAAGAGAAACCACTGTCTCGAATGGAAAAAATCCAGTTCTGGCATGAAGCATCACATACTGACTAAAGAGCCCTTGAGCCCTGAAAACCAGTAGTAGTAACCAAGTAATATGCCATGAGCCTTCAGTGAGACTCTGAGACATGATGGCTTCAGATAAGACTTCACATTCCCAGGTGTGGTAGCTATGGGGAGAGACTCCTTCTGTTTCAGAAAAGCGGAAGAAAAAGTAAAGGAGACTTTGTCTTAAAACTTAGGTAGTAGCTTGGACACTGTGTGGTAGAACACCAAAGAGGATCTTAAGCTCTCCAAATATAAGACTTGGCTTTTGGATGGGATTTCTGGACATTTCCTTGTCCAGAGAAGAGTCTAGTGACCTGAAACGTGAGTCCCAAGACAGGTAGCAACCACCACAAGTTGACTGAAGAGCCCCTGTTTCTTAAGAAAACATTGGTGGTAAGCTGGCCATACTTGCCATTGGACTGTGGAGGTGATGGTCATGGGATGAAGCTCCTCCCCCTTTGGAAAGAGGAAGGAACATTGGGAAGGTCTGAATCCTGTGGTTTGATTGCCAGCTAAACCATAACAAAATAGAACACCAAGTAGACTTTAAGGCCTTTCACTCCACTCTCTGGCTCCCAGACAAACCTCTGTATCCATTCAGGGTGTATGCGAACTTGGTTCCCTGAAGGGAAGAACATAAGCCTTGCTGGCTTCACCACGTGCTGATTGTGGAGCCCCCAAGGCCTTGAGCAAACATAGGCGCCAGTCTAGTTGTAGTTATGGTGGGCCTTGGGTAAAATCTAGTACTATGCTGGCTTCTGGTATGACTAAGCAAAGTCACAATGGTGGTGGCCACAGGGCTGCTTGTGTCACCCCACCCCAAGCTCCAGGCAGCTCAGAACAGAGAGAGAGACCATTTGTTTGGGATAAAATAAGGGAACAGGACAATAGTTTCAGCCTGGTAATCCCATGAATTCTCCATATTTATTAAGACATTCAAGGTAGTGTCTCTAGGAGTCTGAAATAACCAGAGCGTTATTGGGATTGAGGTGCCCCATAAGGCAGATGCAGCTTAGGTCACAAGAATCAAGTCATTTTGAATACCTGGAAAGCCTTCCCAAGAAGGACAGGTATAAACAAACCCAGACTGTTAAAAACAAAACAAAACAAAACAAAACAAAACAAAAAAACCCTAATTATTCAATGGCCAGACACAGACAAACATTCACAAGTATCAAGATAATAATGACCTCAGCAAATGAATTAAATAAACACCAGGAACCTATCCTGGAGAAACAGAGATACATGAACTTTCACACAGAGAATTCAAAATAGCTGTGTTAAGGAAAGTCAAATAAATTCAAGATAACACAAAAAAGAAATTCAGAATTCTATAAGATAAATTTAATAAAAATATGAAAATGATTTAAAAAATCAAACAGAATTTCTGGTGTCAAAAAATAAAATTCATATACTGAAGAATACATCAGAGTCTTTTAATAGCATAATTGATCAAGCAGAAAAAATAATTAGTGAGCTTGAAGACCGGCTACTTGAAAATAAACAGCCAGAAGAGACAAAAGAAAAAAATAAAATAAAACAATGAAGCATGGCTACAGAATTTTAAAAATAACCTCAAAAGAGCAAATCAAAGAGTTATTGGCCTTGAAAAGGAGGTAAAGAAAAAGACAAGGGTACAAAGGTTATTCAAAATTGTAATAGGAAAGAACATCCCAAACCTAGAAAAAGATATCAATATCCCCATACAAGAAGGTTATAGAACACTAAGCCAATTTAACCCAAAGACGACTACCTCAAGGCATCTAACAGTCAAACTCCCCAAGGCCAACAATAAAGAAAGGCTTCTAAAAGCATCAAGAGAAAAAAAAAAACAAATAATGGACAATGGAGTATCTATATGACTGGCAGCAGATTTTTCAGGCCGGGACCTTTTAGGCCGGGAGACAATGGCATGGCATATTAAAAGTACTCTATACTAACTCGTCATCTAGCATTAGGTGTATCTCCCAATGCTATCCCTACCCCCCCACCACCCACAACAGTCCCCAGAGTGTGATGTTCCCCTTCCTGTGTCCATGTGTTCTCATTGTTCAATTCCCACCTATGAGTGAGAATATGCGGTGTTTGGTTTTCTGTTCTTGCGATAGTTTACTGAGAATGATGATTTCCAATTTCATCCACATCCCTACAAAGGACATGAACTCATCATTTTTTACCAGCATGGCACATGTATACATATGTAACTAACCTGCACATTGTGCACATGTACCCTAAAACTTAAAGTATAATAATAAATTTAAAAAAGAGAAAAAAAAAGTACTCTACTATAGTAGTATATCTGGTGAAAGTATTTCTCAAACATGAAGGAGAAATAAAGACATTCTCAGACAAACAAAAGCTGAGGGACTTCATCAACGCCAGGACTGTCCTGCAAGAAATGCTAAAAGGAGTACTTCTATCAGAAAGAAAAAGACATTAATGAGCAACATGAAAACATCTGAAGGTAGAAAATTCACTAATAATAGTACACACAAATAAAAAATAATATCGTAGCACTGTAACTGTGTTGTGTAAACTACTTTTATTTTAGGTAGAAAGAATAAGCGATGTGACAATTAAAAATAATACTTAAAACAACTTTTCAAGACATAGACAATACAGTAAAATATAAATAGAAACAACACATGTTAAAATGTGGGAGGACAAAGTTAAAGTGTAGAGTTTTTATTATTTTTCTTCTACTTTGTATATACAAACAGTGTTAAGTGTCATCAGCTCAATATAATGGGTTATAAAATAGTATTTGCAAGTCTCATGGTAACCAAAAATCAGGTGCATAAAAATTAAAAGAAAAAATTAAATAATAATATCAGAGAAAACCACCTGCAATTAAAAAAAGGCAGAAGAGAAAGAAAGAGAAAGTAAGAAAGAAGGGAAGTCCAGTAATCAACCAGAAATCAAATAACAAAATGGCAGGAGTAGGTCCTTACATATCAATAATAATATTGAATGTAAATGGACTAAGCTATCAAATAAAAAGGCATGGGGATGCTGAGTGAATAAAAGCAAGAACCAAGGATGTGTTCCCTACAAGAAACAGACTTCACCTATAAAGACACACAGAGACTGAAAATAAATGGAAGGAAAAGACATATTCCATGTCAATAGTAACCAGTAAAGAGGAGGAGTAGCTATACATATATCAGACAAAGTAGGTCTCAAGATAAAAACTTTGAGAAACAGAGAAGGTCACTGTATAAATATAATGGGGATAATTAAGCAAGAAGGTATAACAATTATAAATATATATGCACTCAACATAGGAGCACAAAGATATATAAAGCAAATATTAGAATTGAAGAGAAAAATATAATCTCATACAATAATAGCTGGAGACTTCAACACTTCACTTTTCAGCATTGGACAGATCTTCCAAACAGAAAATAAACGAAGAATTTTATATGCAGTACAGAACAAATAGACCTAAAAGATATTTACAAATTATTTCATCCAATAGCTATAGAATACACATTCTTTTCCTCAGTACATGGATCATTCTCAAGGATAGATCATAAGATATGCCACAAAACAAGACTTAAAACATTCAAAAAAATATCAAGTATCATCTGTAATCACAAAGGAATAAAATTAGAAATCAATAACCAGAGAAATTTTGAAAACTATACATATACATGAAAGTTAAACAACATGCTTGTAAATGACCAGTGGGTCAATGAAGAAATTAAGAAGGAAATTAAAAAATTTATTGAAATGATTGATAAAGGAAACATAACATACCAGAATCTGTGGGATACAGTGAAAGTAGTACTAAGAGGGAAAAATTTAAATGAAGGAAATAACAAAAAGGTCAGTGAAACAAAAAGTTGATTTTTTTAAAAGATAAACAAAATTGAGGAAAGTTTATCCTGACTAACTACAAAAATAGTAAGAAGACCCAAATAATAAAATCAGAGATGAAAAAAGAGACATTAAAACTGATACTGCAGAAATTCAGAGGATTATTAGTGGCTACTATGAGCAACTATACGCCAATAAACTGGAAAATTTAGAGGAAATGGATAAATTCCTAGACACATACCAACGACAAAGATTGAACCATGAAGAAATTTAAAATGTGAACAGACCAATAGCAAGTAATGAGATGGAAGCTATAATAAAAAGACTCCAAACAAAGAAAAGTCTGGGATCCAATGGCTTCTTTGCTGAATTTTACCAGGCATTTAAAGAATTCAATAACACCAGCATTGCCCTGATATCAAAACCAGAGGAAGACAAAGCGAAAAAAGAAAACTAGAAGCCAATGAATATCCCTGATGAATATTGAAGAAAAAATCCTCCACAAAGTACTAGCAGACTGGATTCAACAATACATTAGAAAAATCATCCATCATGATGAAGTGGGATTTATCCTCAGGATGCAAGTATGGTTCAACATACAGAATCTAATCAATGTGATACATCATATAGTAGAATAAAGGACAGAAACCATATGATTATTTCAATTGATGTATTATAGAAAAAGTATTTGATAATATTCAAAATTCTTTCACAATCCAAACTCTCAAAACACTTATTATAAAAGGAACATACCTAAACATAAATGAAAGCCATATATGACAGACACATAAGTAGTATCATTTGAAATGAGGAAAACCAGAAAACCTTTCCTCTACTATCTGCAACAAGACAAGGATATCCACTGTCACTACTGTTTTTCAACATGGTACTAGAAGACTTATTTAGAGCAATAAGACAAGAGAAAGAAATAAAGAACATCCAAATTGGAGATAAAGAAGTCAAATTATCCTTGTTTGCAGGTGATATGATCTTATATTTGGAAAAAACCTAAAGAATCCACCACAAAACTATTCCAACTGATAAATTCAGGAAATTCACAGTACACATTACTAATATACAAAATTAGTACCATTTCTACATGACAACAGCAAAAAAATCTGTGAAAGAAATCCAGAAGGTAATGCCATTTACAACAGCTACACATAAAACAAAATACCTAGGCATTCTTTTGACCAAATAAGTGAAAGATCTCTACAATAAAAATTATAAACTATTGATGCTAGAAAGTGAAGAAGAAACAAAAATGAAAAGATATTTCATCTTCATGGATAGGATAATTCAATACTTTAAAAATGTCCATAATACCCAAAGCAATCAACAGATACAATACAATTCCCGTAAAAATACCAATGACCTTCCTAACAAAAATAGAATAAATAATGTAAAAATATATATGGAGTAACAATGACACAGAATAGCCAAAGCTATCCTAGGCAAAAAGAACAAAACTGGAGGAATCATGGTAACTGACTCTAAATTATACTACAGAGCTATCTATAGTAACCAAAACAGTATGGTACTGGCATGAGAAACAGACACATATACCAATTGAACAGAGGAAATAATCCAGAGATAAGTCCATACATCTACAGTAAACTCATTTTTGACAAAGATGTCAAGAACATACATTGGAAAAGGGGAAGCATCTCCAATAAATGGCGCTGGGGAACCTGGCAGTCCATATGCAGATACTTAAACTACACGCCTGTCTCTCCCCATATATCAAAATAAAATAAAAATGGATTAAATACTTAAATCTAAGACTTCTTCTATGAAATAGATTGAGAAACTCTCCATGACATTGGACTGGGCAAATATTTCTTGAACAATATCTTGTGAGAACTGACAACCAAAACAAAAATGGACAAGTGGAATTACATTAAGTTAAAAGTCCTCTGCACAGTAAAGAGACAACAAAGTGAAGAGACACCCCACAGGATGGGAGTAAATATTTGCAAAATATTCATCTGACAAAGGATTAATAATTACATTATATAAGAAGCTCAAACAACTCTACAGAAAAAATACAATCCAATTTTAAAATGAAGAAAAGATCTGAATAGATATTTCTCAAAAAATACATGCAAATATTAAATAGTTATATGCCAAGGTGCTCAATATCATTGATCATCAGAAAAATGCAAAGACTACAGTGAGATATTATCTTACCCCATATAAAATTACTCTTATCCAAAAGTCAGGCAATAACAAATGCAGGTAAGAATATGGAGAAAAGGGATCCCTTGTACATTGTTGGTAGGAATGCGAATTAGTACAACCATTATGGAGAACAATTTGGAAGTTCCTCAAAAGGTAAAGATAGAGGTACTATATGATTCAGCAATCTCACTGCTAGGTATATACTCAAAAGAAAGAAAATCAGTATCAAAGAGATATCTGCAGTCCCGTGTTTATGGGGACATTATTAATAATAACCAAGATTTGGAAGCCATCTAAATGTCCATCAACAGATGAATCAATAAAAATTATACTATATTTACACAATGGAGTACTATTCAGCCACAAAAATAATTAGAACCTGTCATTTGTAACAACATGAATGGAACACGTGGTTATTATGTTAAGCGAAATAAGCCAGGCATAGAAAGGCAAACTTCATACTTTCTCACTTATTTTTTCATTTATTTATTTTATTTATTTTTCCATAAGTTATTGGGGTACAGGTGGTATTTGGTTATATGAATAAGTTCTTTAGTGGTGATTTGTGAGATTTTGGTGCACGCATCACCTGAGCAGTATTCCCTGCACCATATTTGTAGTCTTTTATCCCTTGCCCCCCTCCCACTCTACCCCCCAATTCCCCAAAGTCCATTGTATCATTCTTACACCTTTGTATCCTCATAGCTTATCTCCCACATATCAGTGAGAACATACAATGTTTGATCTTCCATTCCTGAGTTACTTCACTTAGAATAATAGTCTCCAGTCTCATCCAGTCACTGCAAATGCTGTTAATTCATACCTTTTTATGGCTGCGTAGTATTCCATTATATATATCACAGTTTCTTTATCCACTCATTGATTGATTGGCATTTGGGTTGGCTCCACAATTTTGCAATTGTAAATTGTGCTCCTATAAACATTCATGTGCAAGTATCTTTTTTGAATAATAACTTCTTTCCCTTTGGGTAGATACCCAGTAGTCGGATTGCTGGATCAAATGGTAGTTGTACTTTTAGTTCTTTAAGGAATCTCCATACTGATTTCTATAGTGGCTGTACTTGTTTACATTCCCACCAGCAGTGTAGAAGTGTTGATCATGATGGATTATATTTTTGATATGTTGATGGAATCAGTTAGCTTGTATTTTGTTAAGGATTTTAGCATCCATGTTCATCAAGGATATCAGTCTGTAGTTTTCTTTTTTGGTTGTGTCCTTTTCTGGTTTTGGTATTAGGGTGATGCTGGCTTTATGGAATTAATTAGGGAGGTTTCCTTCTTTCTCTATCTTGTGGAATAGTGTCAAAATACTTGGTGCCAATTCTTCTTTGACTGTCTGGTAGAATTCTGCTGTGAATCTGTCTGCTCCTGGACATTTTTGTTGGTAATTTATTAATTACAATTTCAATCTCACTGCTTGTTATTGGTCTATTTAGGGTATCAGGGTATCTAAATCTTCCTGATTTAAGGTAGGAGGGTTGTATTTTTTCCAGGAATTCATCCATCTCTTCTAGGTTTTCCAGTTTATTTGTGTAAAGGTGTTCATACTAGCCTTGAATGATCTTTTGTATTTCAGTGGTGTCAATTGTAATATCTCCTGTTTCATTTCTTAATGAGGTTACTTGGATTTTCTCTCTTCTTGGTTAATCTTGCTAATGGTCTATCAATTTTATTTATCTTTTCAAAGAACCAGCCTTTTGTTTTACTTATCTTTTGTATTTTTTGTTTGTTTGTTTCTATTTCATCTAGTTCTGCTCTGATCTTGGTTATTTCCTTTCTTCTGCTGGGTTTGGGTTTGGTTTGTTGTTCTTGTTTTTCTAGTTCCTTTGGGTGTGATCTTAGATTGTGCTCTTTCAGATTTTTTGATGTAGGCCTTTAGGGCTATGAACTTTACTATTAGCACTGCCTTCGCTGTATCCCAGAGGTTTTTATAGGTTGTGTCACTAGTGTCATTCAGCTTGAAGAATTTTTTAATTTCCATCTTGATTTCATTTTTGAAATTTTCCATCTTGATTTCATTCAGAAGCAGGTTATTTAATTTCCATGTATTTGCATGGTTTTGGAGGTTCCTTTAGGAGTTGATTTCCAGTTTTATTCCACTGTGGTCTGAGAGAGTGCCTGATGTAATTTCAATTTTCTTAAATTTATTAAGGCTCATTTTATGGCCCATCACATAGTCTATCTTGGAGAAAGTTCCATGTGCTATTGAATCATGTGTATTCTGCAGTTTTTGGATGAAATGTTATGTATATATATATATATATATCTGTTAAGTCCATTTGTTCCAAGTTATAGTTTAAATCCATTGTTTCTTTGTTGCCTTTCTTTCTTGATGACCTGTCTAATGCTGTCAGTGGAGTATTGAAGTCCCCCACTATTATTGTGTTGCTGTCTATCTCATTTCTTAAGTCTATTAGTAATTGTTTTAAACATTTGAGATCTCCAGTGTTAGATGCATATATGTTTAGGATTCTGATATTTTCCTGTCGGACGGGCATTTTGCCATTATATAATGTCCATCTTTGTCTCTTTTAAATATTGTTGCTTTAAAGTTTGTTTTATCTGATATAAGAATAGCTCCCCCCGCTCACTTTTGGTGTCCATTTGCATGAAATGCCTTTTTCTACCTCTTTAAGTTTATGTGAGTTCTTATGTGTTAGATAAGTCTCCTGAAGGCAGCAGATATTTGGTTCATGAGTTCTTATCCATTCTGCACTTCTGTGTCTTTTAAGTGGAGCATTTAGGCCATTTACATTCAATGTTAGTATTGAAATGTGAGGTACCATTGCGTTAATCATGCTCTTTGTTGCCTGTGTACTTTTATTCGTTTTTTTTTTTTTTTTCTTTTTAACTTGTATTTTTGTTTTATAGGTCCTGTGTGATTTATGCTTTAAAGAGGTTCTGGTTTGATGGGTTTCCAGGATTTGTTTCAAGATTTAGAGCTCCTTTTCACAATTCTTGTAGTGGTGGCTTGGTAATGGCAAATTCTCAGATCATTTGTTTGTCTGAAAATGACTGTATCTTTCCTTCATGTATGATGCTTAGATTCACTGGATACAAAATTCTTGGCTGATAATTGTTTTGCTTGAGGCGGTTGAAGATAGGGCCCAATCCCTTCTAGCTTGTAGAGTTTCTGCTGAGATATCTGCTGTTAATCTAATAGGTTACCCTTTATAGGTTACCTGGTGCTTCTGTCTCACAGCTCTTAAGATTCTTTCCTTTGTCTTAACTTTGGATAACCTGAGGAAAATGTGTGTAGTTGAAGATCTTTTAGCAATGAATTTCCCAGGTGTTCTTTGTGCTTCTTGTATTTGCATGTCTAGGTCTCTAGCAAGGCCAGGCAAGTTTTCCTTGATTATTCCCCCAAATATGTTTTCCAAGCTTTTAGAATTGTCTACTTCTTCAGGTACATTGTTTATTCTTAGGTTTGGTCATTTAACACAATCCCAGACTTCTTGGAGGCTTAGTTCATATTTTCTTATTCTTTTTTCTTTGTCTTTGTTGGATTGAGTTAATTCAAAGACCTTGTCTTCAAGTTCTGAATTTCTTTCTTCTATTTATTCAATTCTATTGCTGAGACTTTCCAGAGCATTTTCCATTTCTAAAAGTATGTCTGCAGTTTCCCAAATTTTTTATTGTTTTTTCTTTAAACTACCTGTTTCCTTGAATATCTCTCCCTTCATTTCTTGTATCCTTTTTTTTGGATTTCTTTGCATTGGGCTTTGCCTTTCTCTTGTCCTTCCCTGATTAGCTTAATAACTAACCTCCTGAATTCTTTTTCAGGTAAATCATGAATTTCTTCTTGGTTTGGATCCATGGCTGGTGAACTAGTGTGATTTTTGGGGGGTGTTGAAGAGCCTTGTTTTGTCATATTACTAGGGTTGGTTTTCTGGTTTTTTCTCATTTGGGTGGGCTCTGTCAGAGGGAAGGTCTAGGACTGAAGGCTATTGTTCAGAATTTTTGTCTCACAGAGTGTTCCCTTGATGTAGTACTCTCCCCCTTTTCCAGTGGATGTGGCTTCCTGTGAGCCAAGCTGCAGTGATTGTTGTCTCTCTTCTGGGTCTAGCCACCCAGCAAGTCTACCCAGCTCCGGGCTGGTACTGGGGGTTGTCTGCACAGAGTCCTGTGATGTGAACCATCTATGGGTCTCTCAGCTATGGATACCAGTTCCTGTTCTGGTGGAGGTGGCAGAGGGTGCAATGGACTCCATGAGGGTCCTTAGCTTTGGTAGTTTAATGCTCTATTTTTGTGCTGGTTGGCCTCCTGTCAGTAGGTGGGGTTTTCCAGAAAGCATCAGTTGTAGTAGTGTGGACAGGGACTGGTGGTGGGCAGGGCCCTAGAACTCCCAAGATTAAATGCCTTTTTTCTTTTGCTACCAGGGTGGATAGGGAAGGACCATCAGGTGGGGGCAGGCTAGGCATGTCTGAGCTCAAGACTCTCCTTGGGTGGGTCTTGCTATGGCTGCTGTAGGGGATGGGGATGAGATTCCAAGTTCACTGGAGTTGTGTACCTAGGAGGATTATGACTGCCTCTTCTGAGTCATGCTGGTTGTCAGGGAAGTGGGGGAAAGCTGGCAGTAACAGGCCTCATCCAGCTCCCAGGCAAACTGAAGGGCTGGTCTCACTCTCACTGTGCTTCTCCCAACAGCCCTGAGTCTGTTTCCAGACGGAGGGTGAGATGGGCTTAAAAATTTGCCTGAGGTTTTTCTGCCTCTCAGCTGTGAAGGAAAAGGGCTTTAGCTCTTCCCCATGTCTGTGAAGTCTGCATGTTGGATTCCCACCCTCCTTCGAGTTCTGGCCAGGAGGCTTCTCGCCCTGTTCAAATTATTACACAGTTCAGCTAGAGAATTTTTTCTCCCTTTGGAGTTTTACCCCTGCTCCTCTGGCCATCCTCCTGATGGATCCCTGTGGTGTCAGGCAGGAATGGACTGCTTGAAGACCCAGCGAGCTCCCAGGGCCTTTCTGCTGCTTCTTCTACCCCTGTATTTCACTCGGCTTGGCTCTGCAACTTGACTTAGCTCCAGATAAAGTCAGAAACTTCTCCTGCAAATAGGCCTTCAGCTTTTCCAGTGCGGGGGTGTGTTTGGGAGAGGAGGGTCTCCCTTTCCCACTTCCGCAGTTGGGGCACTCGCAGTATTTGGGGTTTCTCCTGGGTCCTGCAGGAGCAGTCTGCTTACTTCAGAGGATCCTCCCAGGATTGCTGGTTTGTTTTTGGAGTTGATCTGGAATTAAACTTCACAATGCAAGCCTCCACATGCAACTCTGTCTAGTGCTGCAATCTAGTCCTGCCTCCCATCTGCCAGGATCCCTCAGTAATACCCTCACTTATTTTTGAGAGCTAAAAATCAAAACAATTGAACTCATGCAGATAGAGAGTAGAAGGATGGTTACCAGATGCTGGGAAGTGTAGTGGGAGATGAGGGAGGAAGTGGGGATCGGTATTTGGTATAAAAACATAGAAAGAATAAATAAGATAGTATTTGTCAGGACAACAGGGTGACTTAGTAAAAAATAATTTATTTGTACATTTTAAAAATAACTAAAAGAGTAAAATTGGATTGTTTGTAACATAAAAAATAAATGGTTGAGGTGATTAATACCTCATTTATCCTGATTTGATTATTACACATTGTATGCCTGTATCAAAATATCTCATGTACCACATGAGTATTAACTTACCTGGTCCCTAAAAAATAAAAGATAAATTAAAAATATAATTTTAGGTGTATAATAATACTATGTTTTCAAAAATAATATGTATTATTTCAAGGTATATATTTAAGTATTTGCGGATAGGATAAAAAATGAAGAAGGGCAATTGATGAATCAGCACTGGCCATATATTGATAAAAATTGGGTGGTGGCTATACATATAAAGGCTAATCATATCTTTCTATCTTTGTATATATTTGAAATTTTCTATACTAATGAATTTAGTAGAAATCCTCTGGGTAGTACAAAATAGATTTTCATTTTCTCCAGTGGGTTGCATCTTTTTAAAGACTATTTTAAAAAGCCTCTAATGGTGACACAGATTCCCACATAGCTCCAATAGTTTAATTTGTCTCTATTTTCCACTCCATTCTTTCCTCCACCACAGGGTCCTGGCTGTATTTTAACATTCCCCTGCAATGTCAAGGTCTGGAATTCTGTAGGGCAAGAAGGCTCTTCATAGTCCTCTTTTAGATAAGATTTGGTTCTTCTATGTTCTCTGAAGAAAAGCATGTAGAAGACAACCCACCTCTTCTATTGATCTTATTTATTTCCTATCATATTGTTGCTTTTCTGTATTATTTTGTTAGACCACTTCTCATATATGTGCACAGACAGGAAGGAAAGATATACACGAATGGAACATGAAACACTCATTTTTAAAGGTAGAAAATTATAGACACCCAGGGGAGTGAGTCAGATTATCTGGACCCAAATCCCAGTACCATGAATTACTAGCTTCATGACTTTGGCACATTTTTCTGTACTATAAAATGGAATTAATAAAAGTATCTGCCTAATATGATAATAGGATACATTGTACATAGTATCCCATATTATATAGTATCCCAAGATAATGAAATAATGCATGTAAAGCACATGGCCTATATTAAACACTCAAAACATAGTAGCTATTATTACTATATCTTCACTGGCATTGTATCTTGCTATTTATCAATTGACAGGTGAAAAACTTTCTACTGTAATTTGTATCTCGTCAATTATTGGATTATTATTTATTTGTCTGATTTTTCTTCTGTGTATTTTTCATTCCAATCATTTATTCAATTTTGCTGATCAAGTAGTGTTTTTCTTGTTGAATAAGTAACCACTGAACAAAATAAGAAAGTAGTGAGGCTGTTTTTTATTTTTATTTAGTTTTTTTATTTAGTTTTTATTTTATTTTTATTTTTTTAGCAGAAAGTGCAAGATTGACCTCAATTTATTCAAATTCAGAATTTGTAAGATGGGTCCAATGCTGAGATGGGGAAAGACCCAGAATCAAGCCTTAAGAAACTTCAACATATTTTTTCAGTCTTGACTATCAGAGTTATGCTAGAGTTGAAAAATGAACGGGAAGGTGCAGCCTTTTCAGAAACAGGCTAGCAGTTCCTGGAAAAGTTAAACATAAAGCTACCATATGACCCAGCAATTCCATTCCTAGTATCTACCTAAGGGAAATAAAAACATATATCCACAACAAAACTTGTACAAAAATTTTCATGGCAGCATTATACATAGTATCCCACAAGTGGAAACAACACAAATTTCCATCAGTTGATTATTGGAAAAAACAAAATGTGGTATATGTATAAAATATATCACCCTGCTTTTATGTTTCTAAATAATCTTTTCATTAAACTTTTTTCAGTTAAACCCTTTGAGTATGCCATTTACTTTTTCTTTGGACACTGATTGTTAGAGTGGGTTAAGAGTTTTGCACAATTGTCTTTATAATTTAAACAATTTTTTTTATTTCTGGTTAAATCGTATTTCTTATCCCTAAAACTTATATTGTATCTATTATTGTTAAATATTAATATCATTAATAACTTACTCAATTCCTTTAATATATATAAGCCTATTCAGATTATGTAATTTTTTTGGTGTGAGACATGGCAGATTGTGTCTTTCAAGAACTTTGTCCATTTCATGAAGATTATCAACTTTGTGTGCATAGAGCTGTTTAAGATATTCCTTTCAAAAATAAATTCTTTCTTTCTTTCTTTCTTTCTTTCTTTCTTTCTTTCTTTCTTTCTTTCTTTCTTTCTTTCTTTCTTTCTCTCTCTCTCTCTCCCTCTCTCTTTCTTTCTTTCTTTCTTTCTTTCTTTCTTTCTTTCTTTCTTTCTTTCTCTTTCTTTTTTCGACAGAGCCTCACTTCATCACCCTGGCTGGAGTGCAGTGGTGCAATCTCAGCTCACTACAACCCCTCTTCCCAGGTCCAAGGGATTCTTTTGCCTCAGCAACCTGAATAGCTGGGATTATAGGTGTATGCCACCACTCCTGGCTAATTTTTCTTGTGTTTTTAGTAAAGGCAGGGTTTCACCATATGGGCCAGACTGGTCTTGAACTCCCAAGTTCAAGGGATCCTCCCACCTCAGCCTCCCAATGTACTGGGATTACAGGTGTGAGCTACCGCCCCTGGTCACCTTTATAATATATATTTTTCTACCAAAAAACACATGTACTCATATGTTTATTGCAGCACTATTCACAATAACAAAGACATGAAATCAACCCAGATCCCCATCAACAGTGAACTGGATAAAGAAACTGTAGTAAGGGGAGACCTGGGGAGAACCAAGAAAAGACATTGAGTTTGAGGCGGTGCTGAGATAGGATCATGAAGGAAGAGGTGAAGGGAATTCTTATAAGAGTGGCGCTGTGTTGTTGCCCTCTGGTCCCCAAAGAGATTATCGAGGGCTGCTGCCAGATATGCCTTTCCTTCGTGCCCAGGGAGCCTCAGGTAGTGGTTGGTACTGATAAATCCTTGAACTATGATTTTGTGTTTGACCCCAGTAGTGAACAGGAAGAAGTCTTCAATACAGCAGTAGCACCACTCATAAAAGGCATATTTAAATGATATAATGCAACGGTCCTGGCCTATGGGCAGACTTGCTCTGGAAAAACACATATTCAATGGGAGGTGCATACACTGCAGAGAAAGAGAAGGAATCAACAGTTGGGGTTATTCCTAGGGTAATACAACTGCTCTTCAAAGAAATTGATAAAAAGAGTGACTTGGAATTTACTCTGAACATGTCTTACTTAAAGATTTACAGTGAAGAAATTTTGGATCTTCTATGCCCTTCTTGTGAGAAAGCTCAAATAAATATATGGGAAGATCCTAAGGTTATTGATTTCTAATTTTATTCCTTTGTGATTACAGATGATACTTCATATTATTTTATTTTTTTTTAATGTTTTAAGCCTTGTTTTGTGGCATACCTTATGATCTATCCTTGAGAATGATCCATGTACTCAGGAAAAGAATGTGTATTCTATAGCATAAAGATTGTGATACTCACTGAGCAGACTGTTTTAGTTGCCTTGGATACTGTTTCCTATTTGGAGCAGCGCAACAACTTTAGGACTGTGGCCTCCACAGCTATGAACCCCCAGTCATCCCAATCTCATGCCATCTTTACAATCTCCATAGAGCAGAGAAAGAAAAGTGACAAGAATAGCAGCTTTCGCTCCAAGCTACATCTTGTAGACCTCGCTGGATCAGAAAGAGAGAAGAAAACCAAGGCTGAAGGGGATCATCTAAAAGAGGGTATTAATATTAACCGAGGCCTTCTATGCTTGGGAAATGTAATCAGTGCTCTTGGAGAAGACAAAAAGGGTGACTTTGTGTCCTACGGAGATTCCAAGTTGGCTCGACTGCTTCAAGGTTCTCTAAGTGGTAATAACCATACTCTTATAATAGGCTGTGTGAGTCCTGCTGGCTCCAATCTAGAGGAAACTAAATACCCTTCGCTATGCTGACAGAGCAAGAAAAACCAGGAACAAACCTGTTGTTAATACTGATCGCCAGATAGTTGAACTTAATCATCTAAAGCAACAGGTACAACAGCTACAAGTCTGGTTCCTACAAGCCCATGGAGGTACCCTGCCTGGATCTATAAATGTGTAACCATCAGAAAATCTACAATCCCTGATGGAGAATAAAAAATTAAAAGTCGTGGTCTGAGTGAGGCAGCTGGTCAGACAGCCCAAATGTTAGAGAGGATCATTTTGACAGAGCAAGTGAATGAAAAAAATGAACGCTGCTGGGCGCGGTGGCCCACGCCTGTAATCCCAGCACTTTGGGAGGCCAAGGCGGGCGGATCACGAGGTCAGGAGATTGAGACCATCCTGCCTAACACGGTGAAACCCCTCTCTACTAAAAATACAAAAAATTAGCCGGGCGTGGTGGTGGCAGGCGCCTGTAGTCCCAGCTACTCGGGAGGCTGAAGCAGGAGAATGGCGTGAATCTGGGAGGCTGAGCTTGCAATGAGCCCAGATCGCGCCACTGCACTCCAGCCTGGGCGACAGAGCGAGACAACGTCTCAAAAAAAAAAAAAAAAAAAAAAAAAAATTAACACCAAGCTAGAAGAGCTAAGGCAGCATGCAGCCAGAAAACTGGATCTTCAAAAGCTAGTGGAGGCTTAGGAAGACCAGAAATGGAAAGAAAATGTAGAGATCCACTGCTCTCTTCAGAGCCAGGAGGCAGGAACGTTTAAGTCTGCTGAAGTTGCACCCACAGCCCCCCCTTTCCCCCAGGTGCTCTGTCCCAGGGAAATGGGAGTTTTGTCTATAAGCCCCTGACTGGGAATGCTGCCTTTCTTTCAGAGATGCCCTGCCCAGAGAGGAGGAACCTAGAGAGGCAGTCTGGCTACAGTGGCTTTGCTGAGCTGTGTTGGGCTCCACCCTGTTCAAACCTCCCAGCGGCTTTGTTTACACTGTGAAGGGAAAACCACCTACTCAAGCCTCAGTAATGGTGGAGGCTCCTCCCTCCACCAAGCTCGAGCATCCTAGGTTGACTTCAGGCTGCTGTGCTGGCGGTGAGAATTTCAAGCCAGTGGATCTTAGCTTGCTGGGCTCTGTGGGGTGGGATCTACTGAGCTAGACCACTTGGCTCCCTGGCTTCAGCCTGTTTCCAGGGGAGTGAATGGTTCTGCCTTTCTGGTATTCCAAGTGTCACTGGGGTATGAAAAACAAAACAAAACAAAACAAAAAACCTCCTGCAGCTAGCTCGGTGCCTGCCCAAATGACTGCTTAGTTTTGTGCTTGCAACCCAGGGCCCTGGAGGTGTAGGCACCGGAGAGAATCTCCTGGTCTGAGGGTTGTAAAGACTGTGGGAAAAGCATAGTATGTGCGCTGGAATGCACTCTTCCTCATAGCACAGTTCCTCACGGCTTCCCTTCGCTAGGGAAGGGAGTTCCCCAACCCCTTGTGCTTCCCATGTGAGGCAACACTCCACCCTGCTTCTGCTTGCCCTCCATGGGCTGCACCTACTGCCTAACCAGTCCCAATTAGATGAGCCAGGTACCTCAGATGAAAATGCAGAAATCAGCCGCCTTCTGCATTGATCTTGCTGGGAGCTGCAGACTGGAGCTGTTCCTATTTGGCCATCTTGCCAGCCACCCAATGAATTATTTTTAAATGTTATGTAAGTAAATAAACCTTAGCCCACCTACAAAAAAAAAAAAAGAAAGAAAGAAACTGTAGTATGTATCACCATGGAATATTACACAGCCATAAAACAGAATGAAATCATGTTTTTTTGCAGAAACGCAGATGTAGTTGGAAGTCATTATCCTAAGAAAATTAATGCAGGAAAAGAAAACTGAATTCTACATGTTCTCACGTAAAAGTGGGAGCTAAACATTGAGTACACGTAGATAAACAGTTGGGAACAATAGACACTGGGGACTACTAGATGACAGAGGGATTGGGATGCCTGAGAATTTTTTTAAAAACTACCTACTGGGTACTATGCTCACTATCTGGGTGATGGGATCATTAATACCCCAAACCTCAGGGTCATGCAATATACTCTTGTAACTAACTTGCACATGTACCCCTTGAACCTAAAATGAAAGTTGAAAAAAAATTGCTTAGTATCATTTTAATCTCCATAGGATTTATAGTGATGTCTGCTTTTCATTTTAGATATTAGTAATTAGTGTTTTCTGTTTTCCTTTTTTTCCCAAATTCTAAAGTCTTTTTAATCTTCTGATATTTAAACTTTTTCAAGAGTGCCCATTAGTTTTTCTTTTAGGGTAGTTTTGTTTGATATGACTGGAGGTTGTAATTAATGGTATGCCAAATTTTCCATTCTTTGCAGAGATAGGTAATGCACCAAAATTGTCTTAGCTATTTCTTGGTCGCCAGTTTGAGAGACAAACACTGTTATTTTTAACAGCCCAAACTCCTCTCAGCCCCAATATCCTGACATCTTTAGTGAGTTAGGATAATCCTAACCTAGAGGTATATATGCCTGTGAGATTCCTGGCCTGAAAGGAATAAATCATTTCACAGCATTCATAGGACAGAAAAATAAAAACTAGGGCTCCTACAGTAAACAAGTATTATTTCTGTTCAAAACCATCCTGCAAGCCCAAAAATCAGCTGGCCCTAGAGTTTCATAACAGGTACACAGGTCACAGGCAGACAGGCGGGGCAGGAACAGGAATTTCTCTGGGTGCATGCTACTTTGGTTCTGCCTCAGAGGCACTAGAAGTCTAGGCCCTGCATTAGCACTCTCTTTTTCTTTCTTAATTAGCCTGGCTAGAGGTTTTTCATTTGTATTAATCTTTTCAAAGAACCACCTTTTGATCTGTTTATTTTCCCTATTGATTTCCTGTTTCTGAATGCATTGATTTTTGCTTTAATTTGTATTATTTCATTTTTTCTGCTCACTGATAATGTCCCTTGCTCTTAAGTCTGCTCTGCCTGAAATTAATAAAGCCATTCCCACTTTCATTTTTTTAAAACCACCTTATTAAGGTATGATTGACATATTAAAAGCTTTACACATTTAATATATACATATTTATAAATTGGGACTAGGTGTATACCTGTGTAACGATCACCACCATCAACACTCTAAACATATACATCATCTACCAAAGTTTCCGCCTGTCCCGTTTGTTATTAATACCTTTTTTCTTGTTTTTTAATGTTAAGAACATTTAATATAAGATCTATTTCTTTTAGCAATTTTAAGTGTACAATAGAGTATTGTTAGATATGGTCCCTATGCTATATAGTAGATCTCCAGAACCAATTTATTATGCATAACTGAAATTTTGACCCTCAAACTATCACCTTTCCATTTCTCCCTTACCTCAGTCTTTAGTAACCACCATTCTATTCTCTGTTTCTGTGAGTTTGACTAATTTACATACCACAAATAAGTAAAAGAATACAGTTTTTTTTTCTGTGTCTAGTTTATTTTACTTAACGTAATGCCTTCTAGGTCCATTCATTTTGCAACAAATGACAGAATTTGCTTCTTTTTTAAGGTCGAATATTATTCATATATATATTATGTCACAATTTCTTATTTATTTGTCCATTGATGGGCATTTACATGTTTCTCATATCTTGGCTATTGTAAATAATGCTGCAGTGAACATAGGAGTGCACATACTTCTTTGAAATTGTGGTTTAAATTATTTTGGATATGTACACCCAGAAGTGGGATTGCTAGATCATATAGTATTTCTAGTTCTAATTTGTTGAGAAACCTGCATACTGTTTTTGATAATTGATGTATATATTTACATTTTCACCAAGAGTGTACAAGTTTTCTCCTTTCTCCACACCTGCAGAATAATTTATCCTTTGGCATTTTATAATAGCCATTCAAACAGATGTGAGGTAATACCTTATTGTGGTTTTGATTTGTATTTCCTGGGTTATTAGTGATATTGAGCAACTATTCATATACTTGGGCATTTGTATGTTTTCTTTGGAAGAATGTCTACTTAGGTCCTTTGCCCATTATTAAAATTGGGTGTACTTTAGCTGTTCCACGGTATGAGTTTCTTGGATATTTTGGATATTAACCCCTTATCAGATGCATGGTTTGCAAATATTTTCTCCCATTCCATAGGTTGCCTTTTTATTTTGTTGTTTCTTAGCTCTGCAGAAGCTTTTTAGTTTGATGTATTCCCACTTGTTTATTTTTACATCTCTTGCTTTTGCTTTTTATGTCATATACGAAAATTATTATCAAAATCACTTTCTAGGAATTTTTCCACTTTTTTTTTCTAGGACTTTTACAGATTCATGCCTTATTGTTGGGTCACGAATTCATTATGCATTGATTTTGTGTATAGGGAAGATAAGAGTCAAATTTTACCTGCTTTCATGTAGATAACCAGTATTTCCAACACCATTTATTGAAGTGACCATTCTTTGCCCACTTGTATTCTTTGCATCCTTGTCAAAAGTTAGCTGACTTTATATGTGAGGATTTATTTCAGGGTTCTTCATTCTGTTCTATTGGTCTACATGTCTGTTTTATGCCAGTGCCAGTACTGTTTTAATTACTATAAATACGTAATATAATTGAAATCAAGAAGTCTGTTGTCTTTACTTTGTTCTACTTACTCAAAATTGCTTTGCTTACAGGGTCTTTTCTGGTTTCATATAAATTTTTGGATAATTTATTCTATTTCTGTGGAAAAGGCCACTGGAATTTTGATAGGGATTGACTTGAATCTGTTGATTGCTTTGTGTAGTATGAACATTTTAGCAATTTTACCTCTTCAATTCCATAACATAAAAATATATTTCAATTTATTTGTGTCTACTTTATTGTCTTTCAATTGTTTTGTAGTTTTCAGTGTACACCTTTTTCATTTTCTTTATTAAATTTATATCTAACTATTTTTATCTTTTTTGATGATATTTTAGATGAGATTTTAGGTAAGATTGTTTCCCTATTTTTTTCTGATAAGCTGTTATTATATAGAAATGTAACAGATATGAGATTTTAGATAAGATTGTTTCCCTATATTTTTTTCTGATAAAGTGTTAGTATATAGAAATGTAACAGATAATTGTAACTGATTATGTGTCCTGAAACATTACTGAGTTGATGTATTAGTTCTGACACTTTTTTGAGAAGTTTTTAGGGTTTTCAAAATGTAATATCTCATTATATGCAAATAAGACAGTTTTACTTTTTTCCATTCCTATATGTAAGACTTTTTTTGTTACCTAATTACACTGGCTAGGACTTCTAGTATTATGTTAATTAGAAGTGGTGAAGTGAGAATCCTTGCCTTGTTCGTGATCTTAGAGGAACAGTCTTCAATTTTTCATATTGTCTGTATTAGCTGCAGGTGGGTAATATATGGCCTTTATTATGTTGAGGTACATTTCTTATATACTTAATTGTTTGAGAGATTTTACCATGAAAGGATGTTGAGCTCACAAATTTTTTTCTACATCTATTGAGATGATCATATGATTTTTATTTTTTATTCTGTTTATGTAGTGTATTGTTGTGGGACTTCTCCTTAGTTCAGCTAAAGACGGGGTCCTTGTCACAAGGCCACAAAAGATTAGGCTCATAGGCAATTTGAAGGGTGAATAAGGCAGGGTTTTATTGGGTGAAAAGGGAAGTAAAGGGAAACAGGTACCCTCTGCAAAGGAGAGTCCCTGCTGGTCAGCTTCCTGCCTTGCAGTTTAATCCCAAGTTCCACACAGGAACAGGAGGGGCGAGGCTTCTCCCCGCTTCAAAGAATGAAAACTTCTGTGTCTCCACCCCAGTGTGCCCTCCTCCCAATGCACAGGCCAGCCGGAATTTTGTCAGGGAGCTTCCTGACCTGTCTGTCTCAGTATCATATTTATTATTTGCATGTGTTAAACATTCTTGCCTCCAAGGTATAAATTCACTTTTTCAAGGTATATAATGCTTATAAAGTCCTGCTGAAGTCAGTTTGTAGTATTTTGTTGAGGATTTTCTTATCTATGTACATCAGGAATAGTGGATTGTAATTTTCTTCTTATAGTGTCTGCTTTTGGTATCAGGGTAAAGTTGGCCTCATAGAATGAATTTGAAAGGGTTACATCCTCTCAAAGTTTTAGAAGAGTTTTAGAATTTCAAAAATTCTTAAAGTTTGGATAGAATTCCCCAGTGAATTCATCTAGCTCTAAACTTTTTTGCCAGGAGATTTTTGATAACTGATTTAATCTCCTTTCATGTTATCTGTCTATTCAGATTTTCTATGTCTTCGTGGTTCAGGCATGCTAGATTTTATGTCTAGGATTCATCCACTTCTAGGTTATCCAATTTGTTGATATGTAATTGTTCATAGTAGTCTCATGATCCTTCATATTTCTCTGGTATCAGTTGTAATGCTTCCTCTTTCATTTATAAATTTATTTGTTTATATCTTTTCTCTCCCTTTTTACTCTAGCTAAAATTCTATTGCTTTATCTTTTTAAAAAACAAGTCTTAATTTTGTGAATATTTTCTATTGTTTTTTCTGGTCTTTATTTAATTTGCTTGTTTTATCTTTATTATTTCCTTATGCTTACTGTGTGTACTTGTTGCTCTTTTTTTTATTTCCTGGCATTGTAAAGTGATTTTTTTTTAATTTCAGATTTTGCTATTTTCTTAATGTAGCCATTTATTACTGAAAACTTCCTGCTGATAACTCCTTTTGCTGCATCCCATAAGCTTGGTATGTTGTATTTTCATTTTAACTTGTCCCAATGTTACCAGATAGTGCCTCATAGTTCCAAGCTCTTGGCGTCTCAAACAAACAATTGGATAAGATATACACAGATAGCAAAGCAAAGCAGCAAAAATTTATTAGGCACAATATTACACTCTCAGAGGGGGAGAACAGACTGACCTCTGTAGATTAGATCAGCCTTAGTTTGGTGTACTTTGGGTCTTTTTATGTGTTTTCTTTTTCCTCTCTCCCCAAGGGCTGACTAGCCAGTGTCTGCCTTTTTGACTGATAGGTGTGTTGCTTAGTTATTTAACCCCTGTGTGCTTGCACATTGCCTCCATCCCATAAGTTTAAGTACACGCATGATATGAAGTCCATAGGTGTGAGCTTTAATGAGCTGATTATTACACAGGGTCATGCTAAGGATATTTTTAATGCACATGACTATCCCTGAAGAGTTGCCCCTTACTTGTTTGGTCTGGATACTATTGGCCATGGGATCCTTGCTCGCTGCTTTATCTTACTTTTTGTTTTGGCTGCTTAACTTCTGCCTCTTACCTTGCTTCTTGCTCACCTGCCCCTTCACCTTGCTTCTGCCCTCTGCTTTTACTTCTTCTGCCCTTTATCCAACTTTTAATTCCCTTCACTATTCTCCTGCCTCATTTTCCCTATTCTCCTGCTTCACCAAGATATTATTTTATTACACTTGAAATTTTTATTTAACTCATTGGTTGTTTGTTAGTATGTTGCTTAATTTACACATATTTGCGAGTTTCCCAGTTTTCCTTTTGTTATTGATTTCTAATTTCATATCATTGTGGTTAGAAATGATACTTGATATGATTTTAACATTTTTACATTTGTTAGCACTTGTATTGTGGCCTAACATATGGTCTAATCTGGAAAATGTTCCATATATACTTGGGAAGGATTTGTATTCTGCTACTGTTGGACAGAAGGGTCTGTATATATCTGTTAGATCCATCATTTTATACTGATGTTCAAATTCTCTGTTTCCTTATTGATTTACTTTTGAGTGATCTATCCATTATTGAAAGGGGGTATTAAAGTCCCCTACAGTAATTGTATTGCTATGTATTTCTCCCTTCAGTTCTGTTAATATTTGCTTTATATATTTAGTTGCTCCAATATTGAATGCATTTATAGTTACAATTGTAATATTCTGTTTATGACTTGACCCCTTTATCTTTGTATAATGACATTCTTGTTTTCTTCTGACAGTTTTTGACATAAATCTATTTTGTCTTTTATAAATATAGTCACCCCTGCTCTCTTTTGGTTGCAATTTTCATGGGATATTGTATTTTATCCCATCACTTTTAGCCTATGTGTGTCATTAAAGCTAAAGTGAGTTTCTTGTAGACAACACATGGTTGAATCTTGCCTTTGTTTTTCTTTTATCCATTCAGCCAATGTACATGTATTGATTGGATAATTTAACCAATTTACACTTAAGGTCATTGTTGATACATAGGACTTATTAATACCATTTTGTTAATTTTTTACTGACTGTTTTGCAGTGCTTTGTTTCCTTCTTCATCTGCTGTTTTAACTTCTGATTTGTAGTGGCATGCTTTGATTCCTTTATCTTTTTTTTTTCTTTTTTTATTTTTTGAGATGGAGTCTCGCTCTGTCGCCCAGGCTGGAGTGCAGTGGTGCCATCTTGGCTCACTGCAAGCTCTGCCTCCTGGGTTCACGCCATTCTCCTGTCTCAGCCTCCCGAGTAGCTGGGACTACAGGCGCCCGCCACCACGCCCAACTAATTTTTTTTTATTTTTAGTAGAGACGGGGTTTCACCATGTATCCAGGATGGTCTCGATCTCCTAACCTCGTGATCCACCTGCCTCAGCCTCCCAAAGTTCTGGGATTACAGGCTTGAGCCACCGCGCCCAACCTATCTTTTTCTTTTGTGAATCAAATATAGGTATTTTGTTTGTGATTAACATGAGACTTGCATAAAGCATCTTATGGTTATGACGTTCTGTTTTAACCTGATGGCATGTTAATTTTGTTTACAAAAATTAGTACTTTTGTCACCCTTCCCAATATTTTGTTATTGATGTGGAACTTTCTACCACTTTATTGTTTATACATTAATAACTTATTGTAGCTTTGGCTCTTTTTGATACTTTTGCCTTTTAACTTTTATACTGTTTAAAGTGATTTATATACCACCATTACAGTATTAGAGTAATCTACATTTGACTACATACTTACCTTTACCAGCAAGTTTTATATGTTCCTATGTTTTCTGTCAATTAATATTTTTAATTTTCATTTTTATTATATTTTATATTTTAATTTTCAAATTTTAATTCATATGAGTACATAGTGGGTATATATATATATATATGTATGTATGTATGTATGTATAGAATATATGGGATATTTTGCTACAGGCATACAATGTCTAACAATCACATCAGGGTAAACAAGGTTTCCATTACCTCAAGCATTTATCCTTTGTGTTACAAACAATTCAATTATATACTTTTAGTTATTTTGAAATGTACAATTGAATTACTGTTGACTCAAATCATCCCATCGTACTATAAAATACTAGATCTTCTTCATTCTTTTCAACTATTTTTGTACCATTTAACCATACCTCCTTCCCCATGTCAGCCGCTCCACTACTTTTCTCAGTCTCTGGTAACCAGGAAGTGGCAAAAATGGAACCCTTATATACACTGCTGATAGGAACATAAATTAGTACAAACACTGTGTAGAACAATTTGGAGATTTCTCAAAAAACTAAAAAGAGAACTACCATATGATTCAGCAGTACCACTGTTGGGTATATACCCAAAAGAAAAATCGGTATATCAAAGAGATATCTGCACTTCCATGTTTGTTGCAGCACTGTTAACAATAGCCAAGATTTGGAAGCAACTTAAATGTCCATCAAAAGATAAATTAGTAAAGAAAATGTGGTGCTTACACAAAATGGAGTGCTCTTCATGTGGGATGGTTAATGAGTATAAAAAAAAATTAGAAAGAATAAATAAGACCTGGTGTTTGATACCACAACAGGGTGACTATAGTCAATAATAAATTAAAGGTATATTTTAAAATAACTGAAGGAGTATAATTGGATTGATTGTAACACAAAGAATAAATGCTTGAGGGTATTTATATCCCATTTTCCATGATGTGATTATTATGCACTGCATGCCTGTACCAAAACCTCTCATGTGCCCACTAAATATATACACCTACTGTGTATCCATAAAAATATAAATATAAATGAACAAATAAATAAAACATTAAAAAATAAAAAAGAGCTACCGTATGATCCAGCAATACCACTGTTAGGTATAGACCCAAAAGAAAGGAAATCAGTTTATCAAAGAGATAGCCACACTCCCATGTTTATGGCAGCACTTCTCACAATAGTCATTTGGAAGCAGCCTAAGTCTCCATCAACAGCTGAATGGATAAAGAAATGTGGTATATATACACAACGGAGTACTATTCAACCATAAAAAAGAATGAGATCTTGGAGATGATGTCATTTGCAGCAACTTGGATGAAACTGGAGGTCATTATACTAAGTGAAATAGGCCCAGCACGGAAAGATAACATTCACATGTTCTTATTTATTTGTGGGAGCTAAAAATTAAAGCAATTGAATCCATTTTTATTTTAGTTTCAGGGGTTACATGTGTAGGATTGTTAAAAGCATATACTGTTTGATGCTGAGGTTTAGGCTTCTACTGATCCTGTTACACAGCTAGTAAGCATAAATAGCATATTTTTCAGCCCTTGCTCCCCTCCTTCTCTTCTTTTGGAGTCTGCAGTGTCTATTTTCCCCAGGTTTATGCCCATGTGTACCCAAGATTTAGCTCTCACTTATAAATAAGAACATGTAATATGTGATTTTTTTTTGTTTCTGTATTTATTTGCTTAGAATAATGGACTCCAGCTACACCCACGTTACTGCAAAAGACATGATGTCATCTGGTTTTATGGCTGCATAGTATTTCGTGGTGTAAGCAAACCATATTTTATTTATCCAATTCTCTGTTGGTGGGCATCTAGGTTAATCCTATGTCATTGCTATTGTGAATAGTACTGCAATGAACATAGAAGTTAATGTGTCTTTTCATTAGAATGATTTTTTTTCCTTTGCATATATACACAGTAATGAGATTGGGGGGATCAATGGTGATTCTATTTTTAGTTCGTTGAGAAATATCCCAACTGCTCTCCCTAGTGGCTGAACTAATTTACATTCTCACCAACAGTGTGTAAGTTTTCCCTTTTCTTTGCAGCCTCACCAGCATCTGCTATTTTTTGAATTTTTAATAATGGCCATTCTGACTAGTGTGAGATAGTATCTCATTGTGGTTTGGATTTGCGTTTCTCCAATGATTAGTGATGTTGAGCATTTTTATATATGTGTTGGCTGCTTGTATGTCTTCTTTTGAGAAGTGTCTGTTCATGTCTTTGTGAACTTCTTTCTTTTTTTATTAGAGTTTTTTTCCTGTTGATTTAAGTACCCTACATATTCTGAATATTAGTCCTTTGTTAGATATATAGTTTGCAAATATTTTCTCTCATTCTGTAGGTTGTCTGCTCACTCTGTTCCTTTGCCGTACAAAAGCTCTTTAGGTTGATTAGGTCTCACTTGTCAATTTTTGTTTTTGTTGGAATTGCTTTTTAGGACTTGGTCATAAATTATTTCCCAAGGCTGAGGTCCAGAAGAATATTTTCTAGCTCCTCTTCTATGATTTTTATAGCTTGAAGTTTTCTGTTTAAGTCCTTAATTCATCTTGAGTTCATTATTGTATATGGTGATATGTAGGGGTCCAGTTTCATTCTTCTGCGTATTATATCTTCATATGTTTACATGTTGCTGATTAGCATCACTTTTTTCAACTTGAATATCTCTCTTTAGATTTTTTTTTTTTGTATTGTAGGTCTAGTGGTCTGAATTCCCTCAGCTTCTGTCTTTATTGTTCTTTTATTTCTGAAGGGTAGATTTGCCAGGCATAATATTGTTATTTGGGAGGTGTTCCTTTCAGCAATTTGAATATATCATTTCACTTTCTCCTTGTCTGCAAGATTTCTAGTGACAAATAAACTGATAGCCTTGTGGAGGTTTTTTTGTATGTGACAAGTTGCTTTTCTCTTGCAGCATTCGAGTTCTGTGTTTTATTTTGATAATTCGATTATACTGTTTCTCAGTGAAGACCATTTCATGCTCAAACTACTTCAAGTTTGTTGATGTTCATAGACTTGGATATTCTTTCTTCCTTCTGGATTTTGGAAGTTTTGTCATTACTTATTAAGATTTCTGTTCCTTTTTTTTCTCTGATCATTCTGAGACGTGTGTGTGTGTGTGTGTGTGTGTGTGTGTGTGTGTGAGATAGTTTCTCTTAAGTTCAGCAGGCTTCATTCACACCTTTTTATTCTTTTTGTTGCTGTTGTTCCAGGGACAGTCTGTATTTTCTGGGTTATTTATATTCCTTGAAGATTTGCATTGCTGTCTTCTATCTGAATAAGTAGTCACATTCTCCAGTCTTTACTGACTGGCTTTGGGACAGAAGATCCTTCACCAGGAAGCCCTTCTAGGAATTTAGGGGGACTTTCAGAAATTTATATACATTTCCTTGCTCCACTTCTCTTGTTCTCTCTTTGGGAAGCAGTCTTGCAATTGTATGCTTTTTCTTGACCCCACAAATCCAGGCCTGGTGCTGAGAACCTCTATTATACGTTTTCCTATGGCAGTGCCCTGAAGTGTTTGAGGCTGTGGAGCCTTCTCTGAAACCAGCAAAGTTGAGCCAGCTGCTAAGATCTGCATCTGTTTTTCAAACTTGTGTGCCTTCTCTGAGAGCTTGTGCATGCTGTTTACAGGGATGTGAAGGGTGCCAACAATGGGTGAAGGGGTGCTGGGGCATGTGCCAGGTAGTTGGAATGTCTTCAAGTGAGTTGTTCTGTAGGCTTCTTGAGTGGGTATCTTGGTAGAGTCTATGAACCATTTAGCAGAATCACTGGCTAGCTGTTGAGAAATATGCACTGGTTACTGTGTGCTCCCTCCCTTTCCCTCTGCTTCAAGCTTCCCCTGATGATTTGGCAGTGTCAATCCCATAAGTGTTCTGGGCTGCATGGGGTGAGACAACAGTAGGCCTCCTGGGCCGCCTCCTACAAGACTGTGAAAGCTGGATGCTCACTTTAATTTTCCTTCCTTCTGTGGGAGAAATCATAGGCGCAGGGGATCTCTCAGCACCAAATTGTGTTGCCTTTGGATAGGGGTGATGCAAGTAAAGTGAAACTTCTCTTTTTACCTTCTTCAATGCATCTACTCTTGGGGATTTTGTCCACTAGAGTGCTGGAACCTCAGCTATACTCCAGGGATTTCACGAAATATTCTTACCTGTGAGTCTTTACCAAAATTGTTGTTTCTATGGAAACTCCTATTCCGCTATATTGCTGATGTCACTCCTTACTTTCACTTTCTTTCAATTAGTGCTACCATTGTTTTCATATTCAAAGCAGTTTTCCTGTAGAGAACATACTTGGGTTTTCTTTTATTACAAACTCTGATAATCTCTGGCTTTTAATTGGTGCATTTAGAACACTGATGTTCCAAATTATAATTGGTATAGGTGTATTAATGTCTACATTATCTGTTACTATTTTCTATTTCTTTACCTTTGATCTTTTAATTTTTCTATTATACTTTTTATGCCTTCTGTGGTTTTCATTGAGCATTTTATATGATTTCATTTTTTCTCCTTTCTCAGCATATTAGTCACACTTTTTTTACACTTTTTAAAGTGGTTGCCCTAGTATTTGCAAAAATACATTTACAACTACTCTAAGTTCACTTTTAAATAACACTATACTACTCATGGGTAGTATGGGTTCCTTATAATAACAAAAATAACCTGATTCCTCCATTCCATTTTTTGTATAATTGTTGTTATTCATTTCACTTATACGTAAGTATACATGCATATGTACATCATATATATGTAAAAACAAATACATAATGACATATATTGTTCCTCTTATTATTTTAAATAAACTATCTGTTAGATCAGTTAAGAATAAGAAATATATTGGACTCAGGCAGACCCTAAAAATAAGAAAAATAAGTTTTTATTTTACCCTCATTTATCCTTTATCTGGTGCCCTTTTATTCTTTTCATTTCTGACATTTATTTTTCTCTATAAAGAATTTTTAACATTTCTTGCAAAACAGGTCTACTGGCAGGAAACCTCCTTAATGCTTGTTCTTTTGGGTTAGTCTTTGTTTCTCCTTCACTTTTGAAAGATGATTTTGCTAGATACAGAATTATAGGTTAGTAGTTCTTTTCTCTCAACACTTTAAATATGTAACTGCATTCTCCTCTTACTTGCATGATTTCTGAGGACAAGTGTGATGTAATTTTTATCTTTAGTGTAAGGAAGGTTTTTTCCCATCTAACTCTTTTCAGGAATTTTTCTTTATCTCTGATTTTTGTGGTTTGAGTATAGCATGCCTAGGTTTGAATTCTTTTTGTTTTCTTTTTCTTTTTTTTACTATATCCTACTTGGTATTTTCTCAGCTTCCAGGATCTGTGGTTTAGTGTTTGACATTAATTTGCAGAAAATTCTCAGTCTTCATTGTTTCAAATATTACTTCTGTTTCTTCCTCTACTTCTAATACAGCCATTACACAAACGTTATACCTCTTGTAGTTATCCCACAGTTCTTGAATATTTTGTTCTGTTTTGGTTTTTCTTTTTTTCTTTTTTTCTCTTATGTTTTTGAAGTTTCTATTGAGATAGGCTCAAATATTCTTGGCTTAGCTGTGTGCAATTCCCTAGTAAGCACATTGAGGCATTCTTCATTTGTTTTAGTTTTTTAAATCTCTAACATTACTTTTTGCTTCTTTCTTATAATTTCATTTCTAATTATAATGTCCTTCTATTCTTGCATGCTGTCTACTTTACCCATTAGAGCCTTTAGCATACTGGTCATAATATATTTAAATTTCTTACCTGACCATTCCAACATCCTTGCCATAACTGAATCTAATTCTGACACTTGATGTGTCTCTTCAAACTGTATTTTTTTCTTTTAGTATGATTTGTAATTATTTTCTTTTTTTATTATACTTTAAGTTCTTGGGTACATGTATGTGAAGAACATGCAGGTTTGTTATATAGTTATACACGTGCCATGGTGGTTTGCTGCACCCATCATCCCGTCATCTACATTAGGTATTTCTCCTAATGCTATCCCTCCCCTAGACCCCCACCCCCTGAAAGGCCCCATTGTATGATGTTCCCCTCCCTGTGTCCACATGTTCTAATTGTTGAACTCCCACTTATGAGTGAGAACATACGGTGTTTGGTTTTTCATTCCTGTGTTAGTTTGCTGAGAATCATGTTTTCCAGCTTCATCCATGTCCCTGAAAAGGACATGAACTCATCCTTTTTATGGCTGCATAGTACTCCATGGTGTATAAGTGCCAGATTTTCTTTATCCAGTCTATCATTGATGGGCTTTTGGGTTGGTTCCAAGTTCTTTTCTTGATATCCAGTCATGATGTCCTGGGTAAAAAGAACTGCTCTAAATAGGTCTTTAGCAATATGGTAATATAGTGTGTATAGGGGTGAGAAATAGTTCTACAGTTTTACGATTAGGTCTCAGATTTTTAGTGAGCTTGTACCTCTGGATTGTGAACATTGCAAGTGCTTCTCAGTATACTGCTACCACACTTATGATGACTATTGTGGTCTACATTAAACATTTTTTCTTTTCCAACATGGAAGAGAGGGCTGGAGTTGCATCTTTTCCTTTCCCCAGGTTTGTTAGACTCTGATAAAACCCCAGCAGGTTAGTTTCTCCTGAGGAAAGAGCTTTTTAATAAAAAGAAAATTCACGTATGTATTTCAAAATGGTTCCTTTCTTCCTGGAACCATGAGGATAATTTTCTTTGATATTCACTGTGAGGTCTGGTATAATAAATCCAGGAAGTAAAACTCACAAAAATGTGGGAGCTTCCTGATGACTGGGCTTACCTGGAGTTTTTATCTCAAACACTAGTCCACATTGAGCCCAAACAATTCATCATTTACAGTTTAAGTTTTCTTACCCTGGCACTTGTTTCCACAGACGTTCCTGCTTTGATTTCTTTTATGTATTTTTCTGTCTGTCTCTCCAGTTTGGGGAGCAGTGGTTTTCCCTGTGACCTCACTTCTTATGGATCTACAAAGAGTTGTTGAGTTTTCTGATTTTTCAGTTTACTTGTTCTTAGGGCCTAATGATGACCTCCAAGCATCTTAAAACACTGGACTGTAAACCTGTCTTTAACTCTCCTTTAAAATATTAATTTATACAATTAATACTTACAGATAAAGCTGAAATTTTTTGGATAAATGCACCCACTACTAATTTCTGTCCACTGCCTCCTCCCTCGTCCTTTTAGATATTTTCCCATGTGCTCTTCACACATTTCTATGTATATGTAGAAAATATAGACTATATACAGGGAATTTAAAAATAAATGTTATTATACTGGATATTTTTCTGCAATGTCTTCTTCATTCTACAATATATGTTGGAGATATTTATACTAAGATCTATCTCATTAAATCTACATATTAGGGATCTATACTTTACTGAACCTTATTTTTAACTGCCATTTATAATTCATAGTTCATATAATAGACTATTTAGCCAATTCACTATATAGTATCACAGTGGTTAAGAACACTAGCTCTGTCATCGGATTATCAGACTCTAATCTTGGGAACTTGGAACAAATTACTTAATATTCCTGTGACTCATTTTTATAAATAAAATGCAAATAATAATACTTTCTTCATATGATTGATGTGGAGGGTAAATATAGTAGAACATGTAAAGCCTTTAGAATAATACCTGCCACATTTGAATCATGCAGTAAGTGTCAAATATTAGTATTTATAAGCATCTGCTTTGTTCTAGTTTTTCACTCCTACAAACAATGCTCCAATAAGCATTCAGTGTAGTATTCTTTGACCATGTATATAAGTGGTTTCCAGAGATAAAACCAAGTAGAAAAATTACTGAGTCACAAATAGTGCCTATATTTCACCTTGTTTAATTTGTATCTCCTTGAGTACTAAAGAGATTGAGCATTGTTTCATGGTTTTATTTACCAGATATATTTCCTCTTACATTTTTGTGACTTGTATTTTCTTATTCTTTATTCATTTTTCTTACATATATGTAGAAAATTTTTTAAAATGTGGATGTCTCATCAGTTATATACATTATAAATGTCTTCCTCCAGTCAACATGTTGTTGAGAAATATGGTTTTTAAAAAACTTTGATATAGGGAAATATATAATTATTACATTTTTCCTAGTTGATTTTTACTTTTTTTTGCTTAAGGAATTTGTCCTATATTCTAAGGTTGTATCATATTTTTCAAAATTTATTTTTCTTGCATTATTTTTACTTTTATGGACACAGGGTCTTACTCTGTCTCCCAGGCTGGAGTTCAGTGGCACAATCACGGCTTACTGCAGCCTTGATCTCCTAGGCTCAAGCTCTCCTCCTGCCTTGGCCTCCAATTAAGCTGGAATTACAGGTGTGAGTCACTGAGCCTGGCTATACTTACTTTTTTTTACATTATGTTACCAATGCCCCTGCAAGAATGCTTTGCTAAGGGTGTAAGCTTAGAATCTTAGAATCAAACTTTACGTTTCAGATAGAGTACTCAGAGTTTGTCTTTATAGTGGCCAAAATCAACCTTAGACTAAATGATGCTCTGTTCCCAAGCCCCCAAAAAAGTGTAAAAATTACAGTAGAGATAGGGAGGAAGATGGCATATAAGAGACAGGGCTAATGTGCAGCTCTTACTTGGATGGACAGAACAACATGTGGAGACTCACACCATGAACTTTTGCTTCAAGAACTACTTCAGGAATGTAACAGGAAAACCAAAAGAATTCACAGATTCTTTGAGAGAAGTGGCATGCCACTGCAAATTTCATGAGACAGGCAAAAAACTAATTTGGGGGGCAAACAAGAACTGCTGTATATACAAACACAGAAGCTGCCACTGACAGTGTGGGCAGAGAGGGAGGAGCAAGGCCTGATAATTGTGCTTGCTTTCCCAGTGGAGAAGTGTACAGCCTGGGGTAACTTCTGAGCAGGGCACTGTGGGAGCAAGACCGGCCTCACCAGCTGTGTGGGAGCTGAGTGAAGCCTCTTGCTACAGGCTATACCCCACTTTTCTGATGAAATATATGGCACAGTAGAGACAGCCATAATCCCCTCTGAAATATAACCCCATTGGCCCAAGAACCACACCCCATCCCCCACAGTGGCTGCCACTAGCCCTGCACAAGGAGAGTGTGAGCCCAGACCCACCTAAACCTGCCCCCACGTGACGATATTTCTCTACCCACCCTAGTATCCAAACACAAAAGACAGAAACTCTTGGGAGCTTTATGGCCCTGCCCATCACCTGCTTAGAACCCCCTACTACTACTGCAGCTGGTGCTCTCTTGAAAACACCACTTCCTGCCAACCAACTCAGGCCATTACAGCAACTCATGACAAAATGACCCAGCTACAAGGAAGGATAAAACAACAACTAATTTCACCGCCTGCAACATTTAGGCTAACCAGAGGTCCTGACTCTGTCCAAGTGACAACTTCACTGCTTGCATAACCAGCATTTGAGAAAGCCAGCACACTAAGCATATCTACAACCAAAGACTCTCACAGAGCCTACTTCATCCCACTGCCACCTCCACCAGAATAGATGCTGGTATCCACAGCTGGGAGACTTTAAGTGAATCACATCACAGGACTCTTTGCAGACATTCCCCAGCAGCAGCCCAGAGCCTGGTAGCCCAGCTGGGTGGCTGGAGCCAGAAGAGCAATAACTATCACTGCAGTTCAGCTCTCAGGAAGCCCCATCCCTAAGGGAAAGAGGAGAGCACCACATCAAGGGATCACCCTGTGGGACAAAAGAATCTGAACAGCAGGCCTTGAGTTCCAGATTTTCCACTGAAATAGTCTACTCAAGTAAAAAGGAACCAGAAAAGTAATTCTGGTAATATGACAAAACAGGGTTATACAACAACTACAGAAGATCACATTAGCTCCCCAGCAATGAATCAAAACCAAGAAGAAATTTCTGAATTGTCAGATAAAGAATTCAGAAAGTTGATTATTAAGCCACTCCAGGAGATACCAGAGAAAGGTGAAAACCAACTTGAATGAATTTAAAAAACAATACAGGATATGGATGAAAAATTATCCAGAGAAACAGATATCACAACGCAGAAACAATCATAATTTTTGGAAATGAAAAATACGCTTAGAGAAACACAAAATGCACTAGAAAGTGTCAGCAATAGACTAAAACAAGTAGAAGAAAAAACTTCAAGGCTCGAAGACAAGGTTTTTGAATTAACCCAATCAGACAAAGACAAATTTAAAAAATTGAGTAAATGAACAAAAGCCACCAAGAAATTTGAAATTATGTTAAATGGCCAAACCTAAAAATAATTGGTATTCCCAAGAATAAAGAGAAATCTAAAAGTTTGGAAAACTTATTTGAGGAAACAACTGGAAAGCTTCCCCAGCCTTGCTAGAGATCTAGACATTCAAATACAAGAAGCTTAAGAAAACAACTGGGAAATTCATCAAAAAAAGATTATCATGTAGGCACATAGGAATCAGGTTGTCTAAAGTCAAGACACAGGAAAAAAATCTTAAGAGCTATGGAACAAAAGCATCAGTTAATCTATAAAGAAAAACCTATTTCTAAGCAGAAACCTTACAAGGCAGAATGTATTGGGGTCCCATCTTTAGCCTCCTGAAACAAAATAATTGTCAGCCACAAATTTTTTTTTATCCAGCAAAACTAAGCTTCATAAATGAAGGAGAGTTAAAAATTCCTTTTCAGACAAACAAATACTGAGATAATTCACCACTACCAAGCCAACACTACAAGAAGTAGTAAGAGGAGTTCCAAATTTTGGAAGAAAACCTCAAAATACACCAAAATAGAACCTCCTTAAAGCATAAACATCACAAGGCCTATAAAACAATAACACAATGGGGAAAAAGATTTTAAGGAAGCAACTAGCATGATTAATTGAACAGTACCTCAAATCTCAATACTAACATTAAACGTAAATGATCTAAATGCTCCACTTAGAAGATGCAGAATGGCAGAATGGATAAAAATCCACCAACCAAGTATCTTCTGCTTTCAAGAGACTCACCTGACACATGAGGATTCATATAAACTTAAGGTAAAGGGTGGAAAAAATATTCCACGCAAATGGAAACCAAAGCAAGCAAGAGTAGCTAGTCTTATACCAGTCAAAACAGACTTCAGAGCAACAGCAGTTAAAAAAAAAAGAAAGACAAAGTGGGTCATTATATAATTTTAAAAGGATTAGTCCAACAGGAAAATGTCACAATCCTAAATATATATTAACCTAACACTGGAGCTCACAAATTTATAAAACCATCACTACTACACCTAAGAACTGAGCTAGATGGCAACATAAAAATAGTGCAGAACTTCAATACTCCACTGGCAGCACTAGACAGGTCTTCAAGACAGAAAGTCGACAAAGAAAAAATGGACTTAAACTATACCTTGTAACAAATGTACTTAACAGATATTTACAGACCCCAACAACAACACAATATACATTCTTTTGCTTGACACATGGAACATTCTCCAAGATAGGAGACCATGTGACCATGTGATAGGTCACAAAACAAGTCCCAATAAATTTAATAGGATTGGAAGTATATCAAGTATCCTCTCAGACCACAGTGAAATAAAAGTAGAATTTAACCCCAAAAGGAGCCCTCAAAACTATACAAATACGGGGAATTTAAATAATCTGCTCTTGAATGATCTTTGCGACAATAACGAAATCAAGATGGAAATTAAAAAAAGATTTGAACTGAATGATAATAGTGACACAATCTATGAAAATCTCTGGGATATAGCAAAAGATGTGCTAAGAGGAAAATTCATAGCATTAAATGCCTACATTAAAAAGTCTGAAAGAGCAGCTGGGCGTGGTGTCTCACGCCTGTAATTCCAGCACTTTGGGAGGCCAAGGCGGGCAGATCACAAGGTCAGGAGATCAAGACCATCCTTGCTAACATGGTGAAACCCCATCTCTACTAAAAATATAAAAAAAATTAGCAAGGCATGGTGGCGGGCACCTGTTGTCCCAGCTACTCAGGAGGCTGAGGCAGGAGAATGGAGTGAATCTGGGAGGCAGAGCTTGCAGTGAGCCAAGATAGCACCACTGCACTCCAGCCTGGGCAACAGAGTGAGAATCAGTTAAAAAAAAAAAAAAGTCTGAAAGAGCACAAATAGACAATCTAAGCTCACACCTCAAGGAACTAGAGAAACACAAATAAACCATACCCAAATCAAGCAGAATAAAAGGAATAACATAAATCAGAGCAGAACTAAATGAAATTGAAACAAAAAATAATGCAAAAAAGAAAGGAAAAACTGGTGTTTTGAAAAGATAAACAAAAGTGATAGACCATTAGATTAACCAAGAAAAGAGAGAAGATCCAAATAAGCTCAACTAGAAAAAAAATGGGAGATATTATAACTGATATGACAGAAGTACAAAAGATCATTCAAGGTTACTGTGAGCACCTTTACATGCACAAACTAGAAAATCTGGAGGAGATGGATAAATTCCTGGAAATATACAGTCTTCCTAGATTAAATCAGGAAGAAATAGAAACTCTGAATAGACCAACGAAAAGTAGTGAGATTGAAACTGTAATTTTAAAATTGCCAACAAGAACAACAAAAGTCCAGGACCAGATGAAATCACAGCTGAATTCTATCAGATTTTCAAAGGAAAATTGATACTAATGTTACTGAAACTATTTCAAAGGTAGAGAAAGAGAGAATCTCCCATAAATCATTGTATGAAGCCAGTATCACTCCAATACCAAAAATCAGGAAAGGACATAAGAGAAAAAGAAAACTACAGAACAATATCCCTGATGAACATAGATGCAAAAATCCTCAACAAAATACTAGCTAACTGAATCCAACAGCATATCAAAAAGATAATCCAGAATGATTAAGTGGGTTTCATACCAGTGATTCAGGGATGCTTTACCACATGCAAGTCAATAAATGTGATACATCATATAAACAGCATTAAAAACAAACATAGTATGACCATATAAATAGTTGCATAAAAAACAGTTGACAAAATACAGCATCGCCTTATGATTAAAACCCTCAGGAATATTGGCATAGAAAAGATATATCTCAAGATAATAAAGCCATCTATGACAAACACACAGGCAGCATTATACTGAACAGGGAAGATTTGAAAGCATTCTTCCTCAGAATGGAACAAGACAAGGATGCCCACTTCCACCACTTTTATTCAATATAGTACTGGAAGTCTTAGTCAGAGCAAGAGAAAGAAATAAAGGGCATTCAAATAGGTAAAGAGGAAGTCAACGTGTCGCTGTCCACTAATGATACGACCATATACTTAGAAAACCCTAAAGACTCATCCAAAAAGCTCCTAGATCTGATTAATGAATTCAGTAAAGTTTTCGGATACAAAATCAATGTACACAAATCAGTAGCACTGATATACACCAACAGCGACCAAGCTGAGAATCAAATCAAGAACACAATCCCTTTTACAACAGCTGCAAAAATATAAAATACTTAACCAATGAGGTGAAATATCTCTACAAGAAAAACTGCAAAACACTCCTGCAAGAAATTATCAATGCCACAAACAAATGGAAACACATTACATGCTCATGGATGGGTAGAATGAATATTGTGGAAATTACCATATGGCCAAAAGCAATCTACAGATTCAATGCAATTCACATCTAAGTACCATCATCATTCTTCACAGATCTTGAAATAAACAATTCTAAAATTTATATGGAGCCAAAAAAAGACCCTGCATAGACAAATCAAGACTAAGCAAAAAGAACAAATCTGGGGGCATCAAATTATCCTACTTCAAACCATAACACAAGGCTATAGTCAACAAAACAGCATGGTACTGGTATAAAAATAGGAAAGTAGGCCAATAGAACAGAATAGAGAACCCAGAAATAAAGCCAAATACTGTCAACTGATATTTCACAAAGTATACAAAAACATACAGTGGGGAAAGGACCCCTGTTCAACAAAAGGTGCTGGGGATAATTGGCAAGCCACATGTAGAAGAATGAAACTGGATTCTCACCTCTCACCTTATAGAAAAATCAACTCAAGATGGAACAAAGACATGAAACTATAAAAATTCTGTAAGATAACATCAGAAAAACTTTTAGACATTGGCTTAGGCAGAGAGTTTATGACCAACAGCCCTAAAGCAAATGCAACAAAAGTAAAAATAAATAGATGGGACTGAATTAAACTAAAAAACTTCTGCACAGCAGAAGGAATAATCAGCAGGGTTAACAGGTAACCCACAGAATGAGAGAAAATATTTGCAAATTATGCATCCAACAAAGGACTAATATCCAGAATCTAAAAGGAGCTCAAACAAATGTACAGGGAAAAAATAAATAAATAATTAAAATTGGGTAAAGAACATGAATAGACAATTCTGTAAAGAAGATATACAAATGGCCAACAAACATATGAAAAATGCTCAACATCAATAATTATCAGGGAGATGCAAATTAAAACCACAGTGAGATGTCATCTTATTTCTGCAAGAATGGCCATAATTAAAAAATGAAAAAAATAATGGATGTTGTTATGGATGTTGTGAAAAGGGAACACATTTACACTGCTGCTTGGAATATAAACTAGTACAACCTCTATGGGAAACAGTATGGAGATTCCTTAAAAAACTAAAAGTAGAACTACCCTTGGATTCAGCAATCCCACTAATGGCTATATGCCCAGAGGAAAAGAAGTCATTATATGAAAAAGACACTTGCACTCGCATGTTTATAGCAGCACAATTCGCAATTGCAAAAATATGGAACCAGCCTAATGCCCATCAACCAACGAACGGATAAAGATAATTTGGTATATATATGGAATACTACTCTGCCATAAAAAGGAACAAAATAGTGGCATTTGCAGCAATCTGGATGGAGTTGGAGACCATTATTCTAAGTGAAATAACTCAGGAATAGAAAACCAAATATCATATGTTCTCACTTATAAGTGGGAGCTAAGCAATGAGGACACAAAGGCATAAGAATGATATAATGGACTTTGAGGACTCAGGGGAAAGGGTGGGAGTAGGGTGAAGGATAAAAGACTATACACTGGGTATCGTGTACACTACTTGGGTGAAAGGTGCACTAAAATCTCAGAAATCACCACTAAAGAACTTATCCATGTAACCAAAAACCACCTGTTGCCCGAAAACTATTGAAATACAATACAATTTTAAAAATAAAAATTAAAGTTGGAAAACAATAAAACAACAACAACAACAAAGGAATCTAACCTTACTTTCCAAATGTACAGAAAATTTTTCCAAAAATATTCATTAATTAGCTCATCATTCCCCGACATCACATGCTTCTTTTGTGTTATGCTTATATTAGTTACTAATGCCATATTATAATGTAGACATGCATACACATGCATAAATATATCTATATGTGTATATATATATGTGTGTATGTATATGTAAGAGTGTGTGTGTGTGTATATATATATATATATATAAAATCTGGACTCTCTATTCCTTTCCAAGTCCCAAACATTTTGTTTTAATTACAAAACTTCAGCAATAAATATTTATAGAACAAGACAAATTTCTTTGTAATCTTATTTCAAAATTATTTTGGCTATTTATAAATACCATTCTATGCAGATTTTAAAATTAATTTGACATGTTTCATAAAACATCCTACTCGGTTATTATATTGGTTTTAATAGTTTGGCAGTCAATTCTTCTGGATTTTCTGCATAGAAAAAGATTTCAATTAGTACTTCATTGAATAGTAGCATTAATCCCCCTCTTGTTCTTGATTTTAATGGCTACGATCCTAAAATCTCATCAGAGATACTTTCAGACTATCATTACTCATCTCATAAAAACTCTTTTTCTTTGGGTGCTCATTGACTCTGAATTTACTCTCCAGTCTTTGTTGTCAAAATTTACTTACCTAGTCACTCCTACTCCTCCATCATTTATTGAAAAACTTGACACCTGCTTCATTTAGTTTTCTATCTCAGGTACTTTCGTTATTCTCAGTTACATCAATATTCATGCGAGCAACACATCCAATGCACTGGCCTCTTGGTTCTTGATTTTCTCATCACCATCACCTTTACTTCCTCTCCACTTCAGTCATCTACTCTCATGATCACATTTTCAACCTTACCGTCCTGGACTTTGAGATATCAAATAAATTATCCTGAACTTTCGAATATAAAAGTCAAATTTTGTTAATAATTTCCTATTTTTTCTAGTTCAATGGAATGGAAGAGACTTAACTCCCTCTTTCTATCTAAGGATTTTTTTTTTTTATTTTTTTTTGAGACGGAGTCTTGCTCTGTCACCTAGGCTGGAGTGCAGTGGCACGATCTCGGCTCTCTGCAAGCTCCACCTCCCGGGTTCATGCCATTCTCCTGCCTCAGCCTCCCAAGTAGCTGGGACTACAGGTGTCCACCACCATGCCCACCTAATTTCTTGTATTTTTTTTAGGAGAGACGGGGTTTCACCGTGTTAGGCAGGATGGTCTTGATCTCGTGACCTCATGATCCCCGTCTCGGCCTCCCAAAGTGCTGGGATTATGGGATTACAGGCGTGAGCCACTGCGCCTGGTCTTTTTTTTTTTTTTTTAGGTGGAGTCTTGCTCTGCCGCCCAATGCAGTGGTGCGATCTGCAACCTCCGCCTCCCGGGTTCAAGCGATTCTCCTGTCTTAGCCTCCCGCGTAGCTGGGATTACAGGCGCCCACCACCATTCCCCGCTAATTGTTCTATTTTTAGTAGAGGCAGCATTTCACCGTGTTGCCCAGGCTGGTCTCGAACTCCTGACCTCAGGTGATCTGCCCGTCTTGGCCTCCCAAAGTGCGGGGATTACAGGCATAAGCCACCGTACCTGGCCAGGATTATCTTTTTAGTTGTGCTTTTTTATTCTTTTTCCTACCACTTCCTCAAAAACCTAGCTCCACTAATGTCCTCATGTCTCTTGTATCTTAAACCTGTGCCTCTCTAATGGTCCCTTTCTGCCAATTTATTTAAACATATTCAAGTTTTCTCTTATACTCTTCCAAGTGGGTTGCTATGATATGAATGCTCCCCCAAAATTCATGTGTTGAAATGTAATTAGAAATGCAATAGTATTAAGAGGTGGGGCCTTTAGGGGTTGATTACATAGTGCTGGCAGAGCCCTCATGAATGGGATTAGCAAATTTATGAAAGAGCTTGAGTAGTGTCTGTGCTCCTTCCATTCCTTCTGCCATGTAAGAACACAGCATTCTTCCCCTCCAGATGATGCAGCAACAAGACTCCTTCTTGGAAGTGAAAATCTGGCCTTAACCCAACCTGCCGACACCTTGGACTTGGACTTTCCAGCCTCCCAAACTGTAATATAAACATAAATTTCTGTTTTCTTCTGAATTATCCAGGCTGGTAATTTTACAGAAGCACAAATGGACATGGATTAAATAAGATGTAACACTTTTGGTTTATATATTCTATTAGTCCATTTTTGCACTGCTATAAAGAAATACCTGAGACTGAGTAATTTATAAAGGAAAGAGGTTTAATTGACTCCCAGTTTTGCATGGGTAGAGAAGCCTCAGGAAACTTACAATCACGGCAGAAGGCAAAGGGAAAGCAGGCAACTTCTTCACAATGCAGCAGGACAGAGAAGTGCGAGCAGGGGAAATGCCAGATGCTTATAATACCATCAGATCTCCTGAGAACTCACTCGCTATCATGGGAACAGCATGGGAGAAACTGCTGCAATAATTAAGTCACTTCCCCACAGTCCCTGGGGATTACAGGTCCTTCCCTTGACACGTGGGGATTACAATTTGAGATGAGATTTGGGTGGGACACAAATCCAAACCATATCATATATAGAGCTTATACTCCCCATGAGGAAAATTGGCATGTTCTTTTGATAAAAGAGTGTTTGGCTTTGACAATATGCACCATCAAAAATATTGGGAATATACATGAGAACGTATTATAAGGACAGACCATGGAGGAAGGAATATAAAAATTGATTAAGCCAAGTTAAATAATGTGCATGCATTCATTTAGATTTTAAGATGAAATATGTTGGTATGAGCACCAAAGAATGGTGATAACTCTCTGCGAGATTGGTTAAATTGAAACTTGTATATAGCAGTGGTTTATAGTTAGTGAAATGCCAAAACTTCCCTGTTACATTATATGGAAAGGATTCTGAAGACAGTGAGATGCAACTGTTGAAATGGACATATTGTGTTCAACTTTTTATCATATCCCTCTCCACAACATTGAGAACAATGAGTACTAAACTGGTCAAGCCTAGGCACAAGGTGAAAGCAATTGACATATTAAATGAAACAAAGGGTCAAAGCAACGTATTTTGTCTTTCAAGAGTTTATGATAATGGCTAACTAATCAGGACATTGTTAGGCATAAATTAAGCGATCTATTAAGTTGCTGTTTGGCACATTTAGACAGAAAACTTTGAAGTCTATTGTACAGAAACCTAACTTGAGTGACCACAGTGGGGTTTGCAGCCTTGTACTCAGTTTCCATGCCCAAGAATGTCCACAGAATTGGAGACCCTTGCTTGAGGGAGGTTGGATGCCTTTTATGAATAACCCAGAAATGGAGACACAGTTGCATACATTTAGTATTCCCCCAATCTTTGTCCAGAGGAATCCAAATCCATTTATCTGGATGACTGGATGAAGAAGAAATGTCCATTTTTGAAGCTATTAGACATTAGCCCTGAGCTGGTACTGAATCTTGGACACCTGGAATTCCACCATAGTTTATAAATCAGAGTGTGGGGCTATCAACATCAGAAGATAAAATAAGTCATAGCCCAAGTCTATCTCCCTGAGGCGGAATTTAGACTGCAGATTAATGTTATATTTTATTCCCAATTTTCAAAATGTGTAGTGGGAAAATACATATTCAGCAACTGGAAGAATCCCCATACTGGTTTCATGATCCATGAGTTAGGGCTATTGCAAGAGTCACTACAACTCTCCTTACTCCCTGCCAAGACTGTAAACCAAAAGAGAAAGGAATTGCAGAGGTTATTACTATCATCAGATGCCTCCACAATCCAAAAAGTGTTATTTTTTCTATATTGCCATTTAATTTAATTTGGCTAGGGGCAAAGGCCAGATGTGTTTTGGAAAATGACTATGGATTATTGCAATCGTAATTAGAGCATAAAGCAAATTCCAGCTTTAGTTCTGAATGTGGTGTCTTTATTAAAGCAAGTAAACACTGCTCTTGGCAGTTAATATGTAGCTATTTACATAACACATAACTTCTTCCTCTTCCATTTCTGTCAGCAAAAAAAAAAAGAAGAAGAAGTAGTCTGCCTTACCTTCCTATATTAGGGAGACATAATTTTGTCTTCTCTCTTACAATTTGGCCAAAAGTAACACGAATTATGTTTGTATCCCCAACAAAACATCATACTGTTCTATTGTATTTATGACATTATGCTAAGTAGAATTGATGAGCAGAAAGAAACAAGCATTATTAGTGCCTTAGTAAGATACATGCATATTTAGAAGTCCTGTCATAAGTTTGATGTTTTCCAGGAGTCCAGTGGTCTGGGCCTGTCAGTATATTCTTTCTAAGGTGAGAAACATTCATTGTCTCTTGTGCTGTCTGTCGTGAAAAAAGAGATAAAATGCTTGGTAGAACTTCTGGGATGTTGGAGGCAACACATACCACACTTAGGTTTGCTGCTCCAACTCATTTACCAGGTAACCCATAAGGCTGTAAGTCTTGGGTTTGGTCTAGAGGAAGAAAACACTTACAGTAGATCTAGGCACCAGTGCAAGTTGCTCTGCCATTTGTGCCTTATAAACCATCAGACACAATAGCATTGGAAGTTTCTACAAAAGACAAAAATGCTCTAGGATAATTATAGCACCAACTCTTAAGCTTACGTAGTAAAGTCATGCTCTCTTCTTATGATAACTATTTCCAAATTGAAATACTATTCCCATCTTTCTAACAGGCCCAGTAGAGACTAAATTCCTTGACCATGGGACACAAACTGACATGCAACCTAAACTGCATGGCATAAAATTAGTGATAACATGTATTGGATCCTTAAAACATAACATGAGGAATGATATCCTAAAAAGATTCAAATATTATTTCAGTTGAGAGACAGCAACCTGTAAGATTGAGGTGCTACCCTTCAGGCTAAACTTTAAAGCAGCAGTCAATTTTGTCCTTTCCCCCATAAAGAGAGGTGAGAGTGTCCCTTTTATATTATTATTATTATTATTATTATATAATAATATTATATCTATCTAACAATGCTCTGAAGAAACTTTTGCTTCCTGTTCCCTGAATCTTGATTTTAGTGCCTTATGCGGCTCGGATTTGTGTCCTTGACCAAATCTCACGTCTAATTGGTGGAGGGGCCTGTTGGGAAGTGATTGGATCATGGGAGCGGATTTCCCCCTGCTGTTCTCATGATAGAGAGTGAGTTCTCATGAGATCTGATGGTTTAAAAGTGTGTGGCACTTCCCCGCTCACTCTGACTCTCTTCTGCTCTGCCATAGTAAGATATGTTATCTTCCACTTCACTTTTCAAAATGAGGCCTCACAGCCATGCATCCTGTTAAGCCTGTGGAACTGTTAGTCCATTAAAACTCTTTTCTTCATAAATTACCCAGTCTCAGGTACTTCTTTATAGCAGTATGAAAATGAACCAATACAGAAAATTGGTACCAGAAGAGTGGGGGCATTGCTACAAAGATACCTAAATATGTGGAGGCAACTTTGGAACTGGGTAATGGTCAGAAGTTGGAACAGTTTGGTGGGCTCAGAAGATAGGAAGATGTGGGAAAGTTTGGAACTTCCTAGAGACTTCTTGAATGGTTGTTACCAAAATGCTGATAGCGATATTGACAATGAAGTCCAGGCTGAGGCAGTCTCAGAAAGAGATGAGGAACTTATTGGGAACTGGAATAAAGGTCACTCTTGCTATACTTTAGCAAAGAGACTGGCAGCATTTTGCCTCTGCCCTAGAGATCTGTAGAACTTTGAATTTGAGAGAGATGATTTAGGATGTCAGACAGAATAAATTTCTAAGCAGCAAAGCATTCAAAATATGACCTGGCTGTTTCTAAAAGTGTACACTTATATGCTTGAAGAAAGAGATGGTCTGAAATTGGAATTTATGTTTAAAAGGTAAGCAGAGCATAAGAATTTGGAAAATTTGCAGCCTGACTATGTGATAAAAAAGAAAAACCCATTTTCTGGGGAGAAATTCAAGCTGGCTGCAGAAATTTGCATAAGTAAAGAGGAGCTGAATGTTAATAGCCAAGACAATGAGGAAAATGTCTCCAGGGCATGTCAGAGACCTTGATGGCAGTCCCTCCCATCACAGTCTCAGAGACCTAGCAGGGAAAATGGCTTCATGGACTGGGCCCAGGGACCCTTGCTCTGTGCAGCCTCAGACATGGTGCTCTGCATTCCAGCTGCTCCAGCTCCAGCTGTGGCTAGAAGTGGCCAAGGTACAGCTCAGGTCTTTACTTCAGAGGGTGCAAGCTACAAGCCTTAGTGGCTTCCATGTAGTGTTGAGCCTGCAGGTGTGCAGAAGACAAGAGTTGTGCATTGGAAATCTTTGCCTAGATTTCAGAGGATGTATGGAAATGCCTGGATGTCCAGGCAGAAGTCTGCTGCAGGGGCGTAGCACTCATGGAGAACCTCTACTAGGGCATTGCAGAGGAGAAATATGGGGCTGGATGCCCCACACAGAGTACCCCCTGCAGCACTGCCTAGTGGGACTGTGAGAAGAGGGCCACTGTCCTACAGACTCCAGAATGGTAGATTCACCAACAGCTTGCAACGTGAGCCTGGAAAAGTCACAGGCACTCAATGCCATCCCATGAAAACTGCCATGGGGGCTGCACCCTGAAGAGCCACAGGGGTGGAGATGCTCATGTCATAGGGAGCCTAACCCTTGCTTCAGCATGTCCTATATGTGAGACATGGAGTCAAAGGAGATTATTTTGGAGTTTTAAGACTTAATCACTGCCCTGCTGGGTTTCAGAATTGCATGGGACCTGTAACCCCTTTGTTTTGGCCAATTTCTCCCTTTTAGAATGGGAGCATTTACACAATGAATGTATCCCCATTGTATCTTGGAAGTAACTAACTTGCTTTGAATTTTACAGGCTCATAGGTGGAAAGGACTTGCCTTGTCTCAGATAAGACTTTGGACTTAGACTTTTGAGTTAATACTGGAATTAGTTAAGACTTTGGGGGATTGTTGGGAAAGCATGATTGGTTTTGAAAGGTGCAAAGGATATGAGATTTGCGAGGGGCCAGGAGTGGAATGCTATGGTTTGGATTTGTTTCCCTGACCAAATCTCATGTCTAATTGGAGGAGGGGCCTGGTGGGAGGTGATTGGATTATGGGGGCAGATAATCCCCTTGTTGTTTTCATGATGGTGAATGTGTTCTCTTGAGATCTGATGGTTTAAAGGTGTGTGGCACTTCCTCTCTCTCTCTCTTTCTCTCTCTTCCCCACTCTCCTGCTCTGCCATGGTAAGATGTGCTAGCTTTCTCTTTGCCTTCTGCTATGATTGTAAGCTTCTTGAGGCCTCCAAGCCATGCTTTCTGTTAAGCCTGCAGAACTGTGAGCCAATTAAGCCTATTTTCTTTATAAATTACCCAGTATCAGGTATTTCTTTATAGCAGTGCAATAACAGATTAATACAGTGGGTGTGCAAGTCCTACTGCTCAGGGGTGGAGTACTTCCACCAGAAAATGGAGTCATGGTTCCATTAAATTGGATCCTGAGACTGATTCTTAGCCATCTGTGGCTCTCCACAAACCAACAGGCAGAGAAATAATTGCTGTACTTGCTGAGGTGATTAATTATAATTATCAAGGGAAAATTGTGCTGCTACTAAACAGTGGAACCAAGGAAAACTATTACTGGAACTCAAAAGATTCACTCAGGTGCCTTGTCTCCTTCCTGGCCGAATGGCCATTTTCAATGAAAAACTGCTACAAATACAAGATTGCCAACAACTCAAACCCTGCAGTGAAAAATATCTGAATTATTCCACTAGGTAAAACAAAACCCATCCAGCCAAGATGCTGCAGATGGCATAGGAAGATAAGGAACGGGTTGTGTAAGAAGAAGATTATGATGACCAACTTCTGACCCCTTAACAGCTAGAAATCAAGAACTGAAGCAGCCATGCTTTACTTGACTTCTTTTTCCCTCTTCCCACTCAAGTTGCCTTATATAAAGAGTAATGGTGGTGGCTAACATTTTAGTTTTAGGTAGAAATGTAGAATTGACAATATCTTGAAATTGGATGGTAGCTAATGAGAATTTATGTGTTCTCTATGCTGGGGACATGAATACTTTATCTGGATAAACAAAAAGAGTGGATGCTGTGGAGAAAAGTAAAGTGGGCTATGCTGGATACTCTCAGTCAGGTTCTCCGGAGCCACTCTTCATTCATCTTTTCTGCTTGTATCAAGGGGGCTGTCCTTTGTGGATTGCATCAAGGCACTCCTATTCTTCTGGCTTCTAGTTGAGTTTGGTCAATGGGAGACACCAACAGGAGATTAAAGGACAAAGTGGTTGTGTCCCTCTACCAAAGACTGCAGCTCCTGTCAGGGAAAGTCTTCACCTATAGCTAGTTTTCCCCCTTGCCTCTTCAAGGGTAGAGGTCATGAGGCCTCACCAGTGTTGTTAAACCTAGTGAGCTTCATTGGGACTTATTATTTATTAACTCATTTTACACTTTATACTTTGTCACTTTATTAACCTCTCTTCATTGTTCTGTTTGAGGGTGACATCTGTTTACTGCTGAAACTCTGAATGGCACATCAAACATCAATTTCCCACTGTTTAACCCAAGTAAATTTTGAGATCTGCAGGAGCAAGTCATATTATTTTTCATCCAAGGATGTAAGCCAGACACCTGGGACTCATCAATGACAAAACTCCTTGATATACTTCTTCTTAAATATGCAATTTATAATTATTTTCCATCACTTTTATGCCAAAAATATATCTTTATTTCCTCTACTTCTTTATTTTATCATTGACACTTTCCTTGTCCAATCCATTATCATTTTTTGCTTAGACTACTGGAATGGCCTAATTGGTCTTACTGTTTTCCCTTTTGTCTCCCTGTAATATATTTTTTCTCATTGCAGTCAAAGTAATCTTTTAAAAATACCAATCGGCTCTCATTCATGACCCTACTTAAAACCCTTCAAATGTCTCTTATTACTTTAAGTACAAAGACAAAAGTTTTTTGTTTGTGTGTTTTTACATAGCCTATAGTGTCCTACATGATCTGGACTCTCCCTAATTTTCCAACTTATTTTCATATAATTCTCTTTACTCAATGTGCTCAGGCCCTTTTTATTTCACTTTCTCCAACAACCACATTCCTTCCTGCCTCAGGGACTTAGCTTCCAATGACTTCTGCCTGAAATTTACCTGATTTATACTACTCATACTTCAGCTTTCTGCTCAAATTTCACAGTAAGTTGAGACTTAATTATTAGTCCAGGATTCTCACCCCTGCCATTATAAACTCTCATAGGCTTCTATAATTCTTCTTTATAATAAAGTAGCTGAATTATTTGAAAAAGCCTTTTACTCCCCAGGAGACTATATGCTTAATAGGGGCAGGGTCTATGTCTGTTTTGCTCAGAACTCTATCCATTCCCATTCCTGACAAACAATAAATGAGAGAATGAATAATCATGTGAGGGTGAGTGAATGGATAGAATAGAAACGTGGCACAAGTTATGATACCTAAAACTATGATTCACACAATTCTTAGATCTATGACTGCCCACTTTTCTTTTTTTTTTGAGTTTTCTTTTTTTTTAATTATTATTATACTTTTAAGTTTTAGGGTACATGTGCACAATGTGCAGGTTAGTTACATATGTATACATGTGCCATGCTGGTGTGCTGCACCCATTAACTCGTCATTTAGCATTAGGTATATCTCCTAAACCTATCCCTCCCCCCTCCCCCCACCCCACAGCAGTCCCCAGAGTGTGATGTTCCCCTTCCTGTGTCCATGTGTTCTCATTGTTCAATTCCCACCTATGAGTGAGAATATGCGTTGTTTGGTTTTTTGACAGATTTGGGGCTCTGAGTTTCTGGAAAAACAATCAGAGAGCTAGTCTCTGTCAGATATCTATTACTCATGGATGCCAGCATCAGGTTATCATTCAGTTATACTTTTAGCATTTTTAAAGGTTTTTCTCTTTTAAGAAATATTCATTAGTAGTAAAAATTTAGGAGATGCTGCATTTGGAGGGCTGTTACCCTTATGCTATTTTATACGATGGCCACTAGGACTTTTTTGTTTGTTTGTTTTCATTTAGCCAGATTTGGGGGCAAAATTGGATATACAATGTATCTCGTTGCATGGAGCTTCTGTTAGGATACTGTTCTTTTACACACTAGAATCTCTTTCTTGGCATCATAATTTTCTATCTTGTGTGAAAGTTACCTTTAAAACTATTGTGAATTTGGCTGTGGTTTAATAGTTGTTCATGTAAGACATCCTGTCTCCAATTACTCTTTTTTCATTTTTTTCTTTAGTGATTCTAACTTATTTATGCTTCCAGATGAAACTTCAAATAATTTTGCCAAGTTCCAAAACCAATTATTTTGGGATTTTAATTGAAATTGCTTAAAACAAGAAATTTAATTGTGGAAGAATTTGTCTATTTGTAATGTTCTTCCTCTCTTCTCTATTTACTTAACTTTTATTTTATATCTCTTAATTAAGTTTCATGGCTTTCTTTATAATAATTCCATAAATTTCTTGTTGGTGCTACTTGATGTCCCTGTTGCTATTGTGAGAATATTTTTTACCTGGTGGTATTTCCCTTTAATTGGTTGTTTGTGGTATAAAGGAAAGTAATTGGCTTTTGTTTCTATCATACTGAATCTTCTCATTAATTTTTAAAGTTTTGATTATTCCACTAATATCTTATATGTAAAAATCTATCTAGTAATAAACATAATTTTAACCCTCCTTTAAAAGTTATATTTTTATTTGTTTTACATATTATTGCATTGGCCAGAATGTCTGGAACAACACTGAATAGCTTCAATAGCCAACATCCTTTCCTGTGTTGTACCATTAGTTGTGATGTTATTTAAGATAAATTTGGAAATAGTGTATTTCCTTTTTCCTAAATTTCTATGCATATTTTAAGACAAGCAATGGGTGTTAAATTTTATCAGACTCTTTTTACATATTCTTCTTTATGAAGAGCCAGTTCTTGAATTTATCAATTACTGTTATTATCTTCTAAATACTGCATTTTGCTTTCTGTATGCTTTATTGTTTGTGCCATCGCTTTATTTCTAAGTTCTTAAAGTTAAATGTTTAATTTATTTCATTAAAAAATAATGGTAGTATTTAAGGGTATGGATTCGACTAAGTAGTTTTGGCTACTGAAATTGACCAATAGTTGGTATCCCAGCAGGTAATAAGGGATATCAGGAGCGATTTTTCACCTAATACAAGGGAAATAGTTTATAGTACTCATGTCCCCTTGGTATGAAGTTTAGACTCTTAGATACATGAGTAATGATCACAGCATTTGAAGTTCTTAAAAGCTATCAACATCTTATCCAAGGTTAGTCCTTAGTGATCCATTATAGCTGTGTATAGTTGTTTAATTTGATGAGAAAGAAAACACTTCAAAAGATTTTAAAGTGCTATGCGCCTGAAGCCTCTAAATAAATAGTTGAATTTACATGATAAGCCAATTATGGGATGTTTATAAAAGAGTAATTAATATACTGTCAAAAGGGAGTGAAATATGAAAATATAACATATAAATATGTGTAGGTGGGAATGGGGGCAAAGTTGGCCTCATAATTTTAGATCTGTTACAGGTACACCAAAAGCTAAATAAGTAATATTAATTATTCACATTGACTATATCTCAAGTGATGAAATAAAAGAAACAGTGGTTGTATAGAGTAAAATTTATTATAGGGTTGTAGAATTCATACAACCTAAACTCCTTACAGCATTCAGCACCTACACAATTTTGTGCATTCCACAATACAGATAGTAGTGAGAAAGAATCACTGCATTAGTTAAAAATGACTGTCTCATGAAAATTGTTCACATATAAGTCAGGTTAATTACAGAGCACCTAACAGAACTGCAAAGATGTAATTTCTAAATTCAAGAAAGTTGTACAAAATGAAAAACAAAAGAAACCAACAATGTTGAGATCTGATATATTTTACACAAAAAGTTCAAAAACAATTTAAAATATTTCAAATTTTAAAATTGCTCCACCATAAGATGAATAAAGAGCTTACTTAAAGGAAAAGAAAAAACAAACAAACAAAAAAAACAACGGATGGAATTTATTGTCAGGATGTTAGGTGATATATTCATGCTGCTTTCAGAAATCTAAACCCTATAAATTCAAAGAAAAAATGAAACTCATGTAATTTCAGTTTCAAAAAACAAGCAATGCCAATTAAACTAAAATTTGACAAGAGCTTGCAGTGGTTAGTAGTTTTTTTTTTTCCTTTTTTTAAAGCATAAGCAATAGAGTAAATGCATGAGTAAATATCTTGAGTATCCCATAAACCTTAATGTTAAAGTCATATTGTAAATCTCTGACTTCTTATTACCAAGGACACTCTATCTGTTGCCTCTTACTCTTGACAGATCTTGGTCTCAACAATAAATTCGTTGGGGAAGTGTCTAATCTTCCAGCATTTATCAATGGCACGTTTGTTGAAACCTGTAAGGAAATGTGCAAAAAAAGTGGCTTTTGAAATTTTTGTGGAAATGAAAATATATCCAGACTTGTTCCCCACTTTTTCCTGTATTCTACCTCCACTTTCTTCCACTGTGTAACACAGGGTGAAGGAAGGAATACATTAGTTACTTACCCAGCAAGAGGTCTCTGCGACGAAGGCGGAAGGACTTTCTGTTATTGCAAAGTTGGTAAATAAAGATGCCAAGGTTACTAACATCACGAATTTCCTCCACAGCAACTAGGTCTTCTCGAACCACATAAGTTTGAGGCAGATATCTGCCACTCTAAAAATCAAAAGCAAAGATTGAAATGAGAAATTCTTTTTCCTTTTTAACTTTGAAGTTCAGGAGTAAAAGTGCAAGTTTGTTACTTAAGTAAAGTTGTGTCATGGGGTTTGTTGTAGAGATTATTTAATCACCCAGGTATTAAGCCTAGTACCTACTGGTTATTTTTCCTGATCCTGTCCCTTCCCCCATCTTCCACCCTCTGAAAGGCCCCAGTGTGTGTTATTCCCCTCTATGTGACCATGTGTTCTTTGCATTTGGCTCTCACTTAAGTGAGAACATACGGTATTTGGTTTTCTGTTGCTGTGTTAGTTTGTAAGGATAATGGCCTCCAGCTTTATCCATGTCTCTGCAAAGGACATGATCTTGTTTTTTTTTTGTGATTTTTTTTTTTTTTTGGCTGCATACTATACCATGGTGTGTATGTATCGCATTTTCTTTATCCACTCTATCATTGATGGACATTTAGGCTGATACCATGTCTTTGCTATTATAAATATTGCTGCAATGAACATACTTGTGCATGTGTCTTTATAATAAAATTATTTATATTTCTTTGGGCATACACCCAGTAATGCGATTGCTGGGTCTAATAGTATTTCTGTCTAGGTCTGAGAAATCACCACAGCATCTTCCATAATGGCTGAACTAATTTACACCAACACCAATGGTGTATAAGCATTCCTTTTTCTCCACAACCTCACCAGCATCTGTTATTTTTTGACTTTTTAGTAATAGCCACTCTGACTGGTGTGAGATGGTATCTCATTGTGATTTTGATTTGCATTTATCTAATGTTCAGTGATGCTCAGCTTTTGTTCATGTTTGTGGCCCGCATGTATGTCTTCTTTTGGAAAATGTCTGTTCATGTCATTTGCCCAAATTCTTAAGGACACTATTTAAATCCTTTCCTACACCAGATAATGACTGTAAAAAATAATCTTTATTTTCTAGAGCAGTTTTAGGTTCACAACGTTTTTTATTTCAAAATTATTTCAATAAAATAAAATGTTTTGGACAAATTCATTATTTTTTTAAAAAACAAGGAAGTAAAATTACTTGGAAATGCTTATATAAAAATTTGACTTCCAAAATACATACCGCCAGTTTGCCAAAGAGCTCTACCAGATTTTTTGGAGGCATAACAATAGAAGTATTGAGGGGCATCAGATAGCAGTTCCCCAGCAACAAGTCCAGGTAAGCAGTCATTCCCTGTTAGGTAGGGGAAAAAAGTCAGGTAAGACACAGAAGGCATTAACATTGCGAATTTTCCAACTACCATTAGATTAAGCGGCTACATCCTTTCAAAATCAACTAATGTGTATTCAACAACAAAAGAATGAAAAGGCTTTGCCTCAAAAACATGTGCATTCATGAATGAATTTAATACCTGCCAATGAAGTAAAAAAGAGAGAGAGAGAGAAAAAAAATCCTGGAATATTTATAAGAATGAGAAGCCCACCTTTTCAAAGTCATGAATAATTGCTGCAGGGTCACTATCAGAGAAACTGGGGACAGGCACATCAATGATTGCAATGTTGTCATCCTCACGAATGTCAGCCTCCTCAGTCACAGGCAGGAAGTTAGGCTCTCCTCCACGAAGGGAATTTGCAGGATCCTCAGAATCAAAAAAGCACATCTCTCCACGGTAAATGGTGCTCTAAAAGACAAAAAGGGAAAATTACAACCTTCTAATAATCACTATCATGATATTTGAATGGCTTTTCACACTCATATCAATTCATTGTACTATGTGTTAAGCCGAGGCTTGTTGACTACAGTTATCACAATGAAGACAAATCAATTTTATGAACTGAAAGGCAACTTGAAAACTTTCCCTAAATCTTCTTTTCTCTAGTCACCACTACAGAATTTTTTAAGTTGCTACTAAATGTCTAGCAAGTAGTAATCCAAAGTATAATAATTATAATTATTATTATTACCTTGGGCATGAAGTACTTGTAAATGCAGGCTCCACCAACAATAAGTCCTGCCAAGATGAATGAAAGGCCTAAGAGAGTAAGCATACATCTCCCAGAGGAGCCCTCTTTTTCCTGGGTGGCAACTCGGAGCTCCTATTTATTAAAAAGCAAAACCAAAAACAAAACCAGATTGTACTTTTAGACACATAGTTGATTTTGTGTACAATTTACCTCCCTTGAAACCCAAGATATTTTTTTAAATGTTAACTCATTTTAATTGTAGTCTGAATTTATTTCAAGACAATTTCTGAATCTAATAGATGTTAAAAAATGTCTCTGATTATATTAACCTTCCATTTGGCATTTCTAAACCCAAATATCGATATGAAATTATTTCAAAATACATGCATCAAGAATCAAATTAAAATTACCATTTATTTATGCAATGTCATATTCTTTTTTACTGTGCTAAGAACACTTAACACGACATTGACTCTTAACACATTTTTAAATGTATAATATAGTATTAACAATAGGCACAATGCAGTAGAGCCGATCTCTAGAAATTATACTCAGTAAACAGAAGTAATTACTTTTTGAACTAGTACACTGATATAATCACTAACTTTCTGGGATATGGTTCTGTTTCTTCATTATTTTTTCCAAATCAGTTTGTCAACTTAAAAGAGAATTAGTATCCTTTGATTAATTTATTAACTGATTTTTCAAAAAGCTGATTTTTGAAAATTAGGTTTTAAAGGTAGGAGTTCTATAAGGTATATGCCATTTTCCCCATATTTTAGAAATTAAAATATTGAAGGGAGAGATATAAATTTAATGTTCCTAATTTAATCGAGAAATAAAAGTTTCTTAATATCGATCAATATTCTATAACTGTGTATTGCATGAATGAAATATTTTCCACGTCCTGGGTGAAACACTTGATTTTGAAGTGTAGCATTTGCGATAGCTAGACACAAAAGTTGTCTGTGTGGTAACAGTGACTGTAATATTTTGTTAAATCAATATTTTGCTTCGGGATTGAAACAAGAAAGATCCAAAGCAAACAAGCAACTGATTGTGCCCTTCCCAGGGCAGTGGACTCCAATCTTTCTAATCCCATTTTTGTATGTCACAATACATCCTAAGCAGCATTGTTACTCAAGGACTGAATAAATGAAGTAAGCAAATCTAGGCCCTGATCATTAAAGAGTAAATCATTCAAACGTGTATATAAATCGAATTGTTTTAGTCTTTTAGGTCATTAGCTCTTTTTCAGGACAACTACTGCAATGTTTATCAGAGCTAACTAACCTTAAATTCATTTGGTGAAAACAAATGCATAGATTTCAAGTTAATGCAGAAGATGAAAGGACAATCATTTGTTAAATGTTTATTTTTCCAAAAATATTTTTCTTTGAAGGTCAAAGAAATTTGAGATTCCCATTTTCTTAACTAAATTTATTTAAGTTCAAACCCTCCACTAATTAGTACTCTATAAACCTTGAAGGCTTTTCTGTGTCCCAGTAATTTTCAGGAACTTTTAATTATTTTTATTAAAAAAAAAAACCTAAACTAAGATTAGCACTACAAAGATAGAACTATAAATTTTGATTTGGAATTACTGTACAATAATCTAGAACTGGAGACTTAAAATTATATTTTAGATGACTAAAATGAGTTTCATAAAGATAAAGTAACTTGCTCATAAGTCACATAATAGCTTAATTTGAAATTCTAAGAGAAATAAATTTATTTTTTCTTGCTACTGAGACATGAGAAGAACAGTTTGCACTGTAATTTCATTTATTCTTTCAATAATTCAGGAAGTTTATTAAGCAAGGCCTAAGTATTAGAATTTCAATTTCATAAGATGTTACATCCTAGAAATAAGGATTTTTTGTTTTCATTTACATTTATTGGACTTTAGGTTGGTGTGAGCCATCAATTACCATAGCTAATTTCTCTTGGAACTCTTTCGAAGTGATTGTACACTATGTCTGACATCATATTTGTCATGCTCAACCTCTAATGAGCTAGCTGATCAATGTATTACAACACAATATGTCAAATATTATTATCAGTGTCCTATAGTGGCCAGGTAAGGATCCTGTTAAGTTTTCTCCAAAACGTAACAGCAAAGTATAATCAAAGTGCAAATGCTCAGTTTTGCTTATTCCTCATCGCACCCACAATCCTGGCAGAAGTATTGCTTGCATATTAACTGAATCTATCTACAAGTCATGAAATGCTTGGCGGTGAAGAAAAAAAAAAAAAGGATTACTGTGTGGCTATATTTAACTACTGGCCTCTAATTAGACCTCCCAAAAAATCTGACCATGTTTAACCTACAAACTAAGCAGGAGAACAATTACATATTTGACCTCTGTCATTTAATCAAAACCTCAACAATGCAAGAGGGTGTTACTTTTGAGCTCTAAAATGTATAACACACAAAAGCTAGTTTTACTGCAGGATTTAATATTGAAAGTTTCCATAATAAAAAGCTGGATAAGCACATTAACATTTCAAATTGTGTGTACAATCAACTTTTACTACATGGATTCTCATTTAACTCAAAGGACTTTTTATATCTCCACTTTGAACACAGAAGTTAAAACTATATAGAGAACAAGACAAGTCAGGACAGATCTGCAAGCGCCAACACTTTCCAGATTTCATAGAACACGAAGACAATACTATTGCCCTTTAAAATTGAGATTATACTGAGGAGTAGTATACGAACCCTGAAAACATAGTAGGTGTTTAAAAGAAGTAGAAATAGGACTAAATAAATAATGGATAACATTTTGGGGAAGAGCTTCCCCAGTTCCTGTCAAAGCTAGTAGTTTAAATTACAACACTGGACCTGCTTCAGATCTCTAAATAGAGGGAAGGGGATGTTGTTCAACAAGAAAAAAATTTAAAAATAATTGAAAAGTATCCTCAAATTTATTTTTACAAGAGAAGAGTGTTTTCTTTAGGAAATACCACTCTAAAAATATACAAGGCTCTTGCAGTAAAAGGGCACAGTGAACACCCAACACTGGCATTAAGATCCACCTCAATTTTGACAGCTTCTTTATCTAATGTTTAAAGCCACCTATGACCAGAGAGAAACGGAAAATATTCGCGCGCTCAAGCAGACCACTTGCCCCAACCCATACTGCTTGGAGTTAAAAGTGCCCTTTGCTGCTCACCCCACCTCCACGAACACTCAGAGATCATAGAAAGATTTAGTCTTAGAACTTCATCCACACCAAAAGGAAAGAAAGAAATGTTAAATCTCCCGGTCTTGCTCACCCCCCTGTGTCCCCTCTGTCCCTGGGGAGACTATGCGCGCCCCTGGAGGTGGGGACTGGGCGACATGCCCCTCCTTGATCCCCAGGTCCCTACACGTTACCCAAGAGACAATGACAAGGAGTCCCAGGGCATCTCCTCAAACTCTCTCTGACCTCCCTCCAGGACAGCTGGTGTGAGCTGGAACAGACAGAACATGGCACGACACGCGGGAATGCAGAGTGACAGAGGGTGCGGTAAGCAGAAGGTGCCGCAAGGAGACAGAACCGAGGCGACCGGGTAAACCCCAGAGACAGCGTAAGAGGAGCAAGAGGGGCCCTCCCAGGGAAGCTACATTTTCTCCTCTGCTACCAGCCTTCTTTCTTTCGCCCACCCCTCCCCCATCCCGCCCTGGGACAGCTACCTTGCCGGTCAGTATCTGAGTTCTGACCGTGCGGCTCAGGAGGGCCTCCACGTCTTGCCGCGCCTCCTCCTTTTGCACGGCGGTAGGGGTATTGAAGGCGATTTTCACCATAGTGAATCTTCGGGCTGCGCGGTAAGGCGCTGCTGGAATCAGCGTCCTGGGCTGCAGACTGCAAGAGGAGATCCTGTTAGCCCAAACAGCACTTACTTTATCTTCAGTCTAACACTACTGCAAGCCGAGGTCTGGGATACTTATGACGCAGTCCCAAACTGGGGGGAGACCGTGGGCGGGCCCAGGGAGGTGCCTAAAGGGAGGAGCGAGAGGGGGCCCAAAAGGGGCCCAAGTGCCTGAGTTGGGGGTTTGCGAGGTGGCGCGGATTTGCCACTGGGGGAAGAGCAGGGGAAGTGGAGTCCGTGGCCGGCTCAGGCTAAACGTGCCTCACCTGCACCTCAGGCATACTCCCACCCACTCTCTGCAACTTCAGATAAGAGCAAGACAGGAAGGAAGCCTGCTGTGTCGTGTCTTTCTGCCTCTGTCCAGGCCACAATAGCCCCTGACTATGACTGTTTTCTCAAACTTGGACCTGACTCCCCGCAGGGCCTGGGACTGTAGCTTGGCAGTAACTCAAACTTCCTTAGTTCTGGACCCACCCAGGCCCCCAAAGCGCCATTCTACAAAGGTTCTGTTCCTTGATAATAATATCTTCCTTTTAAAGGACACCTAGAATCCTGTTTATAGTTACCCAGTTGATTCTTTCAACAAATTGTTATTTTTTTTATTTGCTTGCTTGTGTTTTGAAATTTTAATATCTCAACCTAAGGCGATGCTAGATCAGAAAGATAGGGCTCCTGCCTCCCCAACACCCCATTTTGTAGATAAGACATGATGAGACAGAGAAGGGTGGAAAGCTTACAATAAATTCCTGAAATAATCTAGATTTTTCACTCTTCCAGGTCAGGGAAACCAGTGTAAAGTCTCAACCCAGAGACTGTTTCTGTTCAGCCACCAGCTGTGAAACCTGCAGGGGGAAAAAAAAAACGTGTGTGTGTGTGTGTGTGTGTGTGTGTGTGTGTATAAGTACTTATGTGTTCAGGAAGGTGGAGGTGGAGGTGGAGGATACAAAATTTAGCCAGATGCTAATACCGATCTAATGGAGGAAAAAACAATAACTTCAAAGGGGTTGAGTTAGAAATTATTCTTGGAACATTTACATGTGCAGCCAGTATAATCAAGCTGTTTCTTCACAGTCAGTTTTTCCAGGTTAGTGATACTGATAGAGAACCTTACCAAGTACAATGCAGGCTTTGGAGGTTGCTGACTGGGGTAGCACTGGTACACAGTTTATAAATAGTCCCGCTGCAGAAGACAGGAGAAAGGTCTGTTGTGTGAAGACAGTAGCACTTACCAAAACAACAGCATCAAACAAAACAAAACAAAGAAACAGCTTTTGCTACAGAATTTACCATCTACTCATCTACCTAAGAAACGGACTTAAATATGTTGAGTCGCCACCCCTTCATCCGAAAAATTCCAACTTGGCGTTTTTCCCACTGATGTTTCCTTGACTCAGAAGCCTGTCTCCTGTTTCCACTGTGGGACCTTTGTGAAGACAGCATTCATTTTCTTGGATAGGCCACAGATGGGAAGGTGGATGGAGGGGAACAGCGGGGAGCCTGTGCCTTACTTAGGGCCAGAATCTTAAAAAGCAGGATGTTTGAGTTTGCTTAGAAATATTGGCATCCTATGTTCTTTCACTTATTATTGCTCAAGATTGACCATTATAATTTAATATTTATCAGGCAACCTTTAGTGTAAGCTGAGGAACTCTCACCTTCCTAGAATGTTTCTCTTTACAGTTGCCTTCCGCTTGCAATCACCTTTGTGACATCTCCACTATGGTCTGTGCTAGTCTGGCCCGGTGATCCACACTCATGGTTGCTCTTGCACATTTACTTAGTAAGTGCAAGGTTCTGGGCGGGATTGTGATGTATTATCTTAGTATATCTTTCCTGAAATGGGGTCGGGCAGAAGGAGAGGGATTCTTTTCATTTTTTCAGATGAATAGATCAAAATTATGATAACGATCAAGGGAGTATGTGATCAATTTCTGGGTACATAATATTGAGCAAGTCACTTCGTCTTCTCAGATGTCAGTTTCTTCATTTGTGTCCTGTTGCTGTGAGGATTATTTGGTATAATGCAAGAGGAAATACCTTTTAAATTATTATGAAAAGGATAGGGAGTGAAATGTTTTGTTATCCTGGGATTGTTATTTTATTCTGTAACATACGCATGTTTCAAGCTTATAAGAATTATTCTTCTTATTATTTACCCTTCAACCATTCTTAACATTCTAGAACTGCTTAAGATCCCACAGTACCTGAATATAGGTCTTACTGGAAAAGGTTAAACTTCTAAGAATAGTCACATAAATTGACATCTAACTTCTCTTTTGGATTTTGAAGAATTTGGCCATCTCCTATTTGTTAACAACGCATCCTCTTTTAGGTATGGGTCTTTGCTACCGTTGGACATATGTGATGCAGGCACAGTCTCACATTGGCAGATACCACAGTTTCCTTCTCAATATATAAAATAATACTTGTGTTAGGATCATAGAATAGCAACAACACCCATTGTCTGTATCCATTCCAGGAAGGTTAAATAGTTCCTGAATATTTTTTGAACTGCAAAATATAAGCTGCCACTTGCTCCTAGGGTTGAAATCAGTAATGAACACACTTCCGTCTACTAAAAAAAATGATTCTCCGCTAGGCTCTTTCTTGTATTCTCTCCTTCCCAGTAACAATTTCTTTTTTTCTAGAATCAATTTCTCTCACTTTCTTGTCTTTGGAAAATGGGGATCTGGCTGCTATGCTGATTCTAGCTCACATTGTTAACTACATCTGAATGCATACCATTCAAGTTTATAAATGACTTCCCTGTTCTCACATGCCAAATGATGACTAAATTATCATAAGTTGGTCTGAATGGAACATGGCATGTAATTGAATGCCAAGCAATGATGTCAACTTTCTTTGAATGATCTTCTGAAATTACCACAAATGCAATCACATAAAGCTAAACCAATAAGGGTATCTATAATACCATTTCACCCATTAACTCATGTATTCATTAATCAAATATTTACTGAGGATCTACTATGTGCCTTGTGCTGTGATTGGCATAAGAATACAGTGGTGAGCAAAACAGATACACTCTTGTCCTTACAGAGCGCATCATTACTATACCAATGGCAATGATGTACTTGTCGTGGGTTCTCCAGTTTTTGTAGTAGGAACACTGGGCTTATGCTGTGGAGTAGGATATAACAATTCTACAAACCAGCAGAATAGGTCCACCCACAGCCAATGCTACTAGGAATATTTAAATGACTAGCACATTTGCAATGGCTTCACATGCAGCACTCTATTTAGGAAGATTAATCTGACAGCAAATGTATTGGGAAACCAGTTGGGGGTGCTCGTCTATATTCCTGGTGACAGGTGGTGAACTATATTGATAATTGAAACACTGAAAACAAAAGAACAACTTCCAAAGAAGTCTAGGAGCCATTCTTTACAAGGCCTGCTGCTGGAATAAGTCATATGAAGGAGAAACATTAGAAAAAAAAAAGATTTTGTTTTGAATGAATGGGAATTCCAGACTGGGAAAATGGTAGTGCCCTTAATATGAAACATTTGTTGAACACAGTAAATGCCAGATTTCTGCGCTAAGCCCTTTAAATTGATTATGTCATTTAATCTTTACCACAACTCTGTGAAGTATTATTATATACTTCATTGCACTGATAGAGACACTGAATTTCCAAGAGGTTAGATAACTTGCTTAAGGTCAAATTCTAACCCAGGTAGTCAGTGTTTATATTCTTAGCCACTATATTGTCTTACTGCCACAAAAAGAAATGGGAAAATCAAGAAGAGAGCTGGTTTTAAAGCAGGAGAAAATAATCAGAATATTCTCTAGGGCATGAAGCATGAATCTCCTCCCCATACTGCAAACAGAAATTCCTGCTTAGAATTTTATTCAGGACTAACCACGTTTGAAACCTTCTTAAGACTTTCCCAGCCTACCCATGACTATAGGCTACTGATCCTAAAGCATATTTCTTCTGAGTTCTCCAGTTGCTTCTGTCAACAATGAAGCAGCTACACAGAGAGCTGGCCAGCCATCTGTTTCTGGGTATAATTCCAAAAGTTTGGTTTAGATCTTTAAAGAGCCAGGCTATTTTCCAGGTCCACTCTTTCCCTGTACACATAGCTTGATCCTGGGAGCAGAGCTAGTGCTCCCCAGTGAAAGTAATAGAAGGCATTTGCTTTCTGGAATAGATTATTGTTTCTCCAGGCCATTTAACGTTTTCTCTGTAGACTGAGTATGCTATGATAATAGGAGGATGTAACATTTTCTTAAATATGAGAAAAGATTCCATCATCCCATCACAATGATGTGGTTATATATTCGAGGTTGAGAAGTTGTGTGCCACCCTAATTTATAAAAATCACTTTGCTTTTTTGCCACATAGAACAACCAAGTACATCTGATAAAAATGTTTGCACTTTCAATGCACCTTTCTAAATTGTGTAAAATTTCTAATCTCATCTTAGACTATCTTTGGGGACTTTTAAAATAGCTATCTGAAAGGTCTTATGAGAACTCTAGTTCTGAGAAATGCAAGTGAGAAACTCAAATCTAGTGCCAGTAATGCTTTTGCGAATACCCAGTTGGTTCAGTTGCTCCATACTATAGCACCAAGTGATAGTAAGCTGTCTTTGTGACAGCTTCAGAGTTAGGTTCCCATTCAATAAAAGCACAGGCACTTGCATTTTTTATATATGATTGTTAAACCAAATATTCTTTTTACCTTCATGTTTGGTTTTGTTTGTGGTTCAACATAATTGAACCACAATTGTGGTTCCTAGTTTAGTCTTAAAGAACATAAAATCCAAAGTTGTTTTATGTTACAGAATTTACCTTGATTGTTCTTGTTTTGCAGTTTTTTAATTTTAATTTTATTATTTGTATTTGACACTAACTACAATGTATGCATATCCCAAAGCCTCCAACTATTCTAAAGTATGATGGCATCTTGGTAATATAGAAGCCAGAAAGGCATACACAACAGAGGAATGCTCTAAATTTATAGTCAGGTTGATGGCACATACTTGACTTCTTATTATTCCCAAAAAATTACATCAGATCGTGATTGGAAAACCCTGCTTGAGAATCCCCCATTTCAAACTCAAGGTCCACAAAAGGTACTGTTTATACCTCAGTGTGGTTGCCAGTTTCTGTGCTAGTGCAAAAATTGAGGTCCTGCATAAAGGAACACTGTAGTATGTGACAGCCTTTGTTCTGTTTTTCATCAATACATCAGTTATACTTCCTGATTTTCAAGTTAAGGGAATTATCCTCTCAGAATTTTAACTTTTGTTTTAGCAGCTTAATTTTAATATCTCCACCTTATTGAGAAGAGTTCTACAAAAAAATATTGTCCACACAGCTTGGGAAGAAAGGGGTGTCTTCTCCCATGTTCTGTTTATGTTGCAACTAACACAGAGCAAATGCCTCCTTTCCTCACATTTGGCATGAAGATTTATAATTTAAATGATGCTACTAAATAGAGCAGATTAGAATAATAATAATAGCATCTATCAATGGAAATAGGTAATGACACAAATGCCAACAATTTTTCCAAATAAGGAGAATTTTTTTCCTCCCCCATTGACATGTTACTCCTTGATCTTTAAGCTTTAATAAGACCTCTTTACTTGGACTGCTAAAGGCTTACTTCTGCACTCCTGTAAACCTTGCAAAGTAGCTATTAGGTATCTCATGCTGGTGTACCCTCATTCACCTTCCCTTTTGGCACTCTTTTTGTGTTGAAACTTTTAGTTATGTGGCATTGGAATCTTACTTGGTAGTTAATTTATGAAAAGCTTAAGAATAAATCTATTCTCAGTTAATGCCTAGAGTCTCTATTGAAGTAAAAGGAGGCTTACATACATAAGAAAAATGCATGTATACTTAGGAATGACCCAGGAAATCAATTCACTTTGAAGAAAAATACATTCTATGAAATTGTGAAGAAACTAGGAACAGGATATAATGACTGATTAACAAAGATATTTGACAAATATTATGATGAATGTGCTGAGATTGTGGGCAAAGTGTGATTATGCCACCTATACAGCAATATTTTCCAAAGACACCTCTACAAGAAAATCATTAGAATTCTAAATCTGCATCGCAAATACACTAAAAATATCTCCTCAACAACTCAAAATAATCTATAACTGTTTATATGTCCATGTTGGAAATTCAAAGAAGCCAAAAAATTCTTCCACCAAATCAACTATGCACACGATTTTTTCTCTCTCTGTCTCTCTCTCTTTCAATCTCTTTCTCTCTCTTTCTCTCTTTCTGTGTGTGTGTTTGTGTGTGTGTTTTAATGAGCATATTCTCTTGAGTCCTGTTTCTCTAAATCACACCAACAGATTGAGCATCCAAAGAAATTTTAACTGGAACCCTCCAAGGCACATCTATTGTACTTTGTATTGAAGGTATATAGCATAGGATAGTACAGTTCTTCCCATTATACACTGCACTTTAAACTAAAAAAAATATTAATACTGTTCTTAGTCCTTACTAGTATCATCTTCATTTTTGTGTTTTGTATGTGTGAGGGTGTCTGTGGAGTTTGCAGTTCTGACTTGCTTTCCTGATGAAAAATGGACAGAACCATTTTTTTAAATTTCCAACTTTTAAGTTTAGGGGTACATGTGCAGGTGTGTTACATAGGTAAACATGAGCCATGGTGGTTTGCTGCACTTCCCACTACCCAGGTATTAAGCTGAGCATCCATTAGCTATTCTTTCTGATCCTCTCCCTCCTCCAACACCATACCTTCCAACAGGCCCCAGTGTGTGTTGTCCTCCCACAATGTGTCCATGTGTTCTTATTATTTATCTCTCACATATAAGTGAGAACATGCTGTGTTTGTTTTTCTGTTCCTGCATTAGTTTGCTAAGGATAATGGACTCCATCTCCGTCCATGTCTCTGCAAATGTCATGATCTTGTTCCTTTTTTCATGGCTGCATAGTATCTCATGGTATATATGTATCACATTTTCTTTATCCAGTCTATCATTGATGGTCATTTGGGTTGATTCCATGTCTTTGCTATTGTGAATAGTGCTGCAATGAACATATGCATGCATGTATCTTTGTAACAGAATGATTTATATTCCTTTGGGAATATACCCAGTAATGGGACTGCTGGGTCAAATAGTATTTCTGACTCTAGGTCTTTGAGGAATCATCACAGTGTCTTCCACAATGGTTGAACTAATTTACTCTCCCCTCAACAGTGTGAAAGTGTTCCTTTTCCTCCACAACCTCGCCAGTATCTGTTGTTTCTTGACGTTTTAATGATAGCCATTCTGATTGGCATGAGATGGTATCTCATTGTGGTTTTGATTTGTATTTCTCTAATGATCAGTGATGTTGAGCTTTTTTTCATGTATTTGTTGGCTACATGTATGTCTTCTTTTGAAAAGTGTCTGTTCACGTCATTTTCCCACTTTTTAATGGGATTGTTTGTTTTTTTTCTTGTAAATTTGTTTAAGTTCCTTGTAGACTCTGGATGTTAGATGTTGGTCAGATAAATATATTGCAAAAAGTTTCTCCCATTCTGTAGGTTGTCTGTTCACTCTGATGATAGTTTCTTTTGCTTTGCAGATTTTTAGTTAAATTAGATCCCTTTTGTCCATTTTTTCTTTGTCGCTCTTGATTTTAGCACTTTCGTCATGAAATCTTTGCCCGTGCCTATCTCCTGAATGGCATTGCCTAGGTTTTCTTCTAGGGTTTTTATAGTTTTGCGTTTTGCATTTAAGTATTTAATCCATCTGGAGCTGATTTTGTATATGGTGTAAGGAAGGAGCCCAGTTTAAATATTCTGCATATGGCTAGCCAGTTCTCCCAGCACCATTTATTAAATAGGGAATCCTTTTCCCCATTGCTTGTTCTTGTCACGTTTGTCAAATATCAGATAACTGTAGGTGTGTAGTCCTATTTGTAGGTTCTCTATCTGTTCCATTAGTCAATGTGTCTGCAGAACCATTTCTAAGAGACAAATTGAGGTCCCGTGCTTTTGCAGTGACTGCAGAGATTCTGGTACTCACTTTTGCCAAGAAATAATGAAGTAGGTTTGTATGTTGATGCTATTTTAAATAATGTATTGTTCTATAATCAATTCTATATATATTAATTCCTTACCTCTATCAGCCCCTGTCTTTTTTTTATTGTTTAGAGAAATTTTTATTACAAAAACAAACAGGGAAATACAGGAAAAGCAAATTTTACATCCATGCTTTATAAAAGTAAATACAACGCCCTAAGTAAAATATTAACTAAGTAAAACCAACAGTAAATGTGTAACTATAGGAGGAACAAATAGCGTTTATCCCAGGAATGCACAGATGTTTCACATTAAAAAAACTCTCATTATAACTCATTATATTAGGAGATTAAGAAGGAAAATACATACAATGAAATAAGTCAATTCTGGTAAACTATTTTTTTTAGCCCCTGTCTAACTCACCTTTGCATCCTTGGCAGTGCTTAGACCAGTGCTTAGCCTGTTACAAAGAGGAGACTCAATATAATTTTTGAATTGAATTGAACCCATTAGTCATTAGCAATTGTTTATCTCTGGGAAGAAACAAGGAGAAAAATAAGTGGAAAATTAAGGGGAAACTATTCTGCTTATGCTACTTCATTATTTTAATTCACCAATCAACAAATCTCCATTGAGCTTTTTTTATGTGCCCGACTCTCTGCTATGTAGAACATACAGAAATATGAAGGATACCATCTACCCTAAAGATGTTTAAAATCTTCTGCAATAGAATTATTTGTTCAGTCTACATAGAATGGTGTTAGTTTTACACTCCCTATTTAATTTGATCCCATAAAGCCTCTATATTCATCTGGGTAGAGTTCTCAGCTCCTACTGACAGATGAAGAAACTGAGATTCTAAGGGGTTAAGACTTACCCAGTCACACACCTTGGGAGGTAGCAGGGCTTGGGCCAGAATGTAAGTCTACCTTAACTCTAAATTTAGTTTTCTATCCACCGCACCATGCTGCCTCAGTATATAACAGGTGTCCCTTGCCTTTCACTACCAGTATCATATATTATCAGTAACAGTCTGAAAATGTGACCTTATAGTGCTTGCCATTTGAGGCCTCCATCTCACTAAGGTATTTCATGTAAACCAATACCAACGCCATGAAATTTTCCAAAGTAGACCATGAGTTTGTAAGAGAGATCCCATATATAGTCATGAGGACACTTTCTTTTTAGTTACAACATAGCTACACATAGCCCCAGTGGTCAAGACAATGTTCCTTGTTTTGAGTAAATGGAGACAACTTCAGCCTTGCTGGATTAATGAAGAAAATAACCAATTATATCTTGGAATGAGGACCCAGTTAGTGTTCCTTATCTCTGTATTAATCTTTGAGATAGTCTAGAGTAACTGTTATAAACACAGACTTTGGGGTCTTTCTCAGAAGTTTCTCAGCAGACTTTCCTTGGTGTCTTGTTGGCCCATATGCTCATTCTTAAATCAATTATTGGCAAAGGAAGTGGAAGTCCCATGATTGGCTTAGCCTATTCAAAGGTCATTCTTAGGTCTGGGGAAATACCAGGTTTTGTAGGGTAAACAAAATTGGGTTTCTTGTAACTAGGAAGAAGAATGGGAATAACTATATGGGAGGCAACTAACAATCCACCTATAGTTCTTGGCAGCAAGAGGAAGAGGAGAAAGAAGAAGGAGAGAAGAACAAAGAAGCAGAATGTGGCCATGCACGGTGGCTCACACCTGTAATCCCAACACTTTGGGAGGCCAAGGTGGGTGGATCACCTGAGGTAAGGAGTTCAAGGCCAGCCTGGCCAACACGGCAAAACTCTGTCTCTACAAAAAATACAAAAATTAGCCAGGTGTGGTGGCAGGCACCTGTAATCCCAGCTACTTGGGAGGCTGACATAGGAGAATCACTGGAACCCAGGAGGCAGAGGCTGCAGTGAGCAGAGATTGCACCACTGCCCTCCAGCCTGGGTAACAAAGTGACACCTTGTCTAAAAAAAAAAAAAAAAGGAGAGAAAGAAGCAGAAGGAAAAGAAAAAATTATAGAAACGTTATCTCTAATGAAATTATATGAAGTCATATGAGTAAATCATTGCAACTTTGGGACTTTTTTTTTTTTTTTTGAGATGGAGTCTTGCTCTGTCGCCCAGGCTGGAGTGCAGGGGCATCATCTCAGCTCACTGCAACCTCCACTTCCCGGGTTCAAGGGATTCTCCTGCCTCAGCCTCCCGAGTAGCTGAGATTACAGGCATGCGCCATCACGCCAGGCTAATTTTTGTATTTTTAGTAGAGACGGGGTTTCACCATGTTGGTCAGGCTGGTCTTGAACTCCTGACCTCATGATCTGCCCACCTCAGCCTCCCCAAGTGCTGCTGCGCAGCCACTGCACCCAGCCAACTTTGGAACATTTTAAGCAGAGAAACTATGCAGAAATTATTATTTTAGGCTTCAGTTTTAGAGAGCTTTACATTTTGTATATGAGTCACTTTCATTATAATGCTTGTTTACTTGCATTATTATAATGTAAGCATTATAATAATGCTTGATCATACCAAGAAAATTAACATATTCATCACCTGAAATATTTACCTTGTGAGTGTCTGTTGGGAGTATTGAAAAGTCACTCTTCTAGCTAGTTGAATATATACATTAAATTATTGATGTAGCACCCTATAGTGCTATAGAACACTAGAGCATATCCTTTCTATCTAGCTGTACTTTAGTTTCCATTTACCAACATTTGGTTACCTCTCCTTAAATTGTTTCATAAAAGCTTTTTAACAGCAAGAAATTTTGGTCAAAGTTTTTCTTTGTTTTGTTTTTGTTTTTTCCCTTGGAAGAAGATATGCTTTACTAATCACAGCCAACATTAAAAAAAAAACCCACTAAATGCTCAATTTAGCTTTAAATTCAGAAACTATGGAGTGTTTCTTTTGTTTTCTTTTCTTTTACTTTTTTTTTTTTTTTTTCAGACAGAGTTTCACTCTTATTGCCCAGGCTGCAGTGCAATGGCGCGATCTCGGCTCATGCCAACCTCTGCCTCCTATGTCCAAGTGATTCTCCTGCCTCAGCCTCCCATGTAGCTGGGATTACAGGCATGGGAAACCACACCCGGCTAATTTTGTATTTTTAGTAGAGACGAGGTTTCTCCATGTTGGTCGGGCTGGTCTCCAACTCCCAACCTCAGGTGATCCACCCGCCCTGGCCTCCCAAAGTGTTGGGATTACAGGAGTGAGCCACTGCTCCTGGCCAAGAGTATATCTTAAAGTAGCAACATTTTACCTATCTGCAGGTCACACTGGTAACAGCTTCTGCTTCTGTTTAATTTCGTAACCCAGGAAAGAAAATTTTGCTCTTACTCATGGCTCAAATTCATTACCTTAATGTGGAATCTCCTCCCTTACCTCTAAGAGGAGTAAAGTGGAAAATACAGGTTGAGTAACAAGGAATAAAGTGGGGACCAAGCTCCTAAGGATTCAGAATGCTTTCTCTAAAGCAGATTATCCAGCCTGGCATAAGAGCATTTTTATTCAAAATGGGTTCTGTCAAAGCTGAAGCAATCTCTTTAAGTAGAGATTTAAATATATTAATATTGAGTTAGGACCTTTGTACAAGTTCAAAAATTTAGAAGCACATGAGTAGGGCCTGCTAGCAGAAGCCAAGAACATATACAGAGTCCAGTTTAAAAGGCTCTTTCTGTAAGCAAATATAATCCTTTCACTATGAATGTCATGGCGTTTCACAGGCTGATATTCAACTGGTAACCAGAGAAAGAACTGGTGTTACCAGATGAGTGATAGATTACTATTGTGATATCTATCAATCAAAGAAAGAGTACCTTATATTTTTTCTTGTAGTATTATCAGAATTTTCTCTTAGATGGACCAACTTGCTGGGGCAGGACAGTGGATTTAGGAAGACTCCACAGTAGACAGGGGAAGTTAGGACATGTAAGCAAAATGACTGAGGGGTAAAGCAGTAGGAGTCAGAGGTCAGCATTGGAGAGGCCCATGAGCAGTTCATGAAGACTAGCTGCTCGTATAACTTACATTGTTCAATCTGTATTTCAGCTGGGTTATTGAATAATGGGCCTTTGCCCCTTCGTCTTTGTATGTTGCATTTTCTATTGCGTCAAATGTCAATATTCCAAAATCTAAAGGACTAGAGTATCAATAAGGAAAGGCCAATGAGACAGGGGTCCAATTCTAGGATGTAAGGAATTATAGAACTGATCTTTTTGATCAGAGTAGGCCTAACAATGAGCCTGATGATGCTGTTTCACCAGATTCAGGCTACTATATTGATCTTAAAAACTTCATAATAAATGAATAGAACCTCCTGGTAGAATATTATTTGATAGACCAACCAAAAAATTAAGGGGCTTTTCCTTTCATTAAGTTTTCTCCCATTAAAACATCTTAGCCCCAGAGGGAGGAGCCAAAATGGCCTATTGGAAGCAATTGCAGTCCCTGGCACTCACAGAGAGAAATGAAAGGAGGGAGTGAATTCAGCACCTTCAACTAAGATACCTGGGTTCTCACATTGGGACTGACTTAGGCAAACAACTGGACTCATGAAGAGCGAAGAGAAGCAGGGTGGGGTGATGGCCCAACCAGGAATGGCATGGAGCCAAGGGAACCCCCACCCCCAGCCAAGGGAAGCAGTGAGTGATTGTGTGACCCCACCCAAGAAACCACACTTCTCCCATAGGTCTTTGCAACTCAAGGATCATCCTCTTGTGAGCCCACGCCACCCAGGCCTTGGGTCCAATACATAGAGCTGTGTGGAGTCTCAGCAGAGTGGTCCCCCAGGCACACACAGAGTTTTGCATATTCCAGCCCCAGGATGTTCGTCAAGGTGAGAGATCCTTCCATGCATGTCCCTAGGAAGGGGGCTGAGTCTGGGGAGCCAAATGGTATTGTTCTGTGAGCCCCAATTCCACAGTGCCTTGCAGATTGAGAACCACTATCTTGGAGTTTCAGCTGGACAATGGCAGCAGGCTAGAGTCTGCCTGAGTCTCAGCAGAGTTTCTCAGGGGAGAGGCAGCCATCATCTCTGTAGTTCAGTAGGCTTAGTTCTTTCAGCCTGCAGATTTTGAAGAATACAGGTGATACAGACAAGGAGGGGCCCCCACAGCGCAGCACAGCTGCCTTGCCAGATCGTGGCCAAACTACTTCTTTAAGAGGTCATACCCTGATATATTTCTCCTCACTGGGCGAGGCCTCCCTGTGAGGGCTTCAGCCACTCCAGCAAGGATTCTACAGACAGAGCTCTGATCTCTCCCAGGGATGAAGCTCCTGGGGGGAAGGGCAGCCACATCTCAGTGGTTTGGTAGACTCGGCCATTCCACCCTGGTGGCTTTGGAGAACACAAACAGTCCAGACAAGGCAAGGTCCTGCCCAGTGCAGTGAACTTGCTCTTCCAAAGGACAGCCAGACTACTTCTTTGTGCAGGTCCTTGATTCCATTCCTCATGACTAGGTGAGACTTCCCAGAAGGGGTCTTCAGCCACCTCCTACAGGTGCTTTTGGGCTGTCCACAAGTCAGTGTGCCCATGGGATGGAATTGCCAGAGGAAGGACAAGGCTGCTATCTTTGCTGTTTCACAGCCTTCACTGGTGATACCTCCAGGTATGGGAAAAAGGAAGGCAACTAGGGTCTGAAGCAGACCCCTAGCAAACTGCAGCAGCCCTACAGAAGAGTGGCCTGGCTGATTAAAAATGAACAACAACAAAAACAAAAAGCCAGAAAGGAACAACAACATCAATATCAACAACAAAAAGAAAACCCTCAAAAAAACATTCAAAGGCCGGCAACCTCAAAGATTGCAAGTAAATAAGCCCAAAAAGATGAGAAAAAAAATCAATGCAAGAATGCTGAAAACTCAAGAAGCCAGAGTGCATTTCCTTTTCCAAATGACTACAACACCTCTTCAACAAGGGCACAGAATTTGGTTGAGGAAGAGATGGCTGAATTGACATAATTACACTTCAGAATGTGGGTAATAACATACTTTGCTAAGCTAAAGGAGTATGTTGTAACCCAATGCAAAGGAGCTAAAGCTGATAATAGAAAAAGTATAGGCACTAGTAGCCACAATAGCTGATTTAATAGGGGAGCATGACAGACCTGATGGAGCTGAAAAACACAAAACAAGAACATCACAATGCAATCACAAGTATCAATAGCAGAATAGACCAAGCAGAGGAAAGAACCTCAGAACTGGAAAAATATCTTTCTGATGTAAGACAGATAGACAAGAATGAAGAAAAAAGAATGAAAAGGGATGAACAAAACCTCTGAAAACTATGGGATTATGTAAACAGACTGAACCTATTCTTGATTAGGGTACCTGAAAGAGACAGTAAGAATGGAACCAAGTTGGAAAACATACTTCAGGATATCATACAGGAGATCTCCCCCAACCTAGAAAGACAGGCCAACACTCAAATTCAGGAAATTCAGAGAACCCCGGCAAGGTACTCCACAAGAAGATCAATCCCAAGACACATAAGGATCACATTCTCCAGGGTCAAAATGAAATAAAAAATGGTAAGCACAGCCAAAAGAAAGGCCAGGTTACCTATGAAGGGAAGCCCATCAGACTAACAGCAGACCTCTCAGTGGAAACCCTGCAAGGCAGAAGAGATTGGTGGCCAGTATTTAGCATTCTTAAAGAAAAGAATTCCCAAACCAGAATTTCATATCCAGCCAAACTAAGCTTCATAAGCAAAGGAGAAATAAAATCCTTTTCAGATAAGCAAATACCAATGGAATTTGTCACCACAAGGCCTGCCTTGCAAGAGCTCTTGAAGGGAGCAATAAATATGGAAAGGAAAAACATTACCAGCCACTACAAAAACACACTGAAGTACACAGACCGGTGATACTATGAAGCAACCACATAAAGAAGTCTGCAAAATAACCAGCTAGCATCATGATGACAGGATCAAATTCATACCTAACAATACTAACCTTAAATGTAAATGGGCTAAATGCTCTAATTAAAAGACACAGAATGGGAAGCTAGATAAAGAGACAAGACTCATAGGTATTCTGTCTTCAAGAGACTGGTCTCACTTGCAAAGACACACATAAGCTCAAAATAAAGGAATGGAGGAAAATTTACTAAGAAAATGGAAAACACACAAAAAGCAGGGATTGAAATTCTAGTTTAAGGCATTACATAATGTTAAAAGAGTCAATTCAACAAGAGGAGCTAACTATTCTAAATATATATGCACCCAATACAGGGGCACCCAGATTCATAAAGCAAGGTCTTAGGGACCTACAAATAGACTTAGACTCCCACACAAAAATAGTGTGAGACTTTAACACCCTACTGGCTATATTAGACAAATCATCAAGAGAGAAAATTTAAAAAGATATTGAGAACCTGAACTCAGCTCCGGATCAAGCGAACCTGATAGATATAAACAGAACCTTCCTCCCCAAAAAAACAGAATATATACTATCATCGCCACATAGCACCGACTATAAAATTCATCACAAAATTGGAAGTAAAAGATTCATTAGCAAATGCAAAAGAACTGAAATCATAATAAACAGTCTCTCAGATCACAGCATAATCAAATTAGAACTCAAGATTAAGAAATTCACTCAAAACCTCACAACTGCATGGAAATTGAACAACCTGCTCCTGAATGACTCCTGGGTAAATAATAAAATTAAGGCAGAAATAAAGAAGTTATCTGAAACTAATGAGAACAAAGAGACAATGTACCAAAATCTCTGGGATGCAGCTAAAGCAGTGTTGTTAAGAGGGAAATTCATAGCACTAAATGCCCACATTAAAAAGCTAGAAAGATCTCAAGTTAACAACCAAACATCTCAACTGAAAGAACTATAGAACCGAGAGCAAACACACCCAAAGGCTACCAGAAGACAAGAAATAACCAGGATCAGAGATGAACTCAAGGAGATAGAGACATAATAAACCATTCAAAAATTCAACAAATCTAGGAGATTAAAAAAAATAAAATAGATAAACTGCTAGCTAGATTAATGAAGAAGAAAAGAGAGAAGAATCAAATAAACACAATCAAAATGATAAGGGGGATATCACAACTGAACCCGCATAAATACAAACAACAAACAGAGAATACTATAAACACCTCTCTGAACATAAACTAGAAAATCTAGAAGAAACAGATACACTTCTGAACACATACACACTTTCAAGTGTGAAACAGGAGGAAATTGAACCCCTGAATGTACCAAAAATGAGTTCTGAAATTGAGGCAGTAATAAACAACATACCAACCAAAAAAGGCCCAGGACCAGAGAGGATACACAGCTGAATTCTAACAGAGGTACCAAGAAGAGCTGGTATCATTTCTACTGAAACTATTCAAAAAAAAAAAAAATGAAAAGGAGGGACTCCTTCCTAACTCATTCTATGAGGCCAGCATAATCCTGGTACCAAAATTTGGCAGAGATACAATACAACAACAACAAAAAAAGAAAAGTTCAGGCCAATATCCTCAATGAACATCAATGCAAAAATTCTCGATAAAATACTGGCAAACCGAATCCAGCAGTATATCAAAAAGCTTATCCACCACAACCAAGTTGGCTTCATCCCGAGATGCAAGGTTGATTCAACATATGCAAATCAATAAATGTGATTCATCACATGAACAGAACTAAAGACAAAAACCACATGACTCTCTCAATAGATGCAGAAAAGGCCTTCAATAAAATTCAACATCCCTTTATGATAAAAACTCTCAATAAACTAGGTATTGAAGGATCATACCTCAAAATAATACAAGCCTCATATGACAAACCCACAGCCAAAATCATACTGAATGTGCAAAAGCTGGAAGCATTCCCCTTGAAAACTGGGAAAAGACAAAGATGCCCTCTCTCACCACTCCTATTCAACGTAGTATTGAAAGTTCTGGCCAGGGCAATCAGGCAAGAGAAAGAAATAAAGCGTATTCAAATAGAAAGACAGAAAGTCAAATTATCTTTGTTTGCAGATTACATGATGCTATAACTAGAAGACTCCATCATCTCAGCCAAAAACTTCTTGGCTGATAAGCAACTTCAGCAAAGTGTCAGTATACAAAATCAATGTGCAAAAATCACTAGCATTCCTATACACTAATAGGCAAGCAAAGAACCAAATTATGAATGAACTCACATTCATGATTGCTACAAAGAGAATAAAATACCTAGGAATACAGCGAACAAGAGACATAAAAAACCTCTTCAAGGAGAACTACAAATCACTGCTCAAAGAAATCAGAGAGAACACGAAAAAATGGAAAAACATTCCAGGCTCATAGATAGGAAGAATCAATATTGTGAAAATGGATATACTGCCCAAAGATATTTATAGATTCTATGATATTCCTATTAAACTACCATGAACATTCTTCACAGAAGTAGAAGAAACTATTTTAAAATTCATATGGGACCAGAAAAGAACCAGAATAGCCAAGAAAATCCCAAACTATTTAGATTAGCTTAATCTAATCTAAAGATTAAAGAACAAAGCTGTAGATATCAATCTAACTGTCTTCACACTATTCCACAAGGCTACAGAAACCAAAACAACATGGTACTGGTACAAGAACAGACACATAGACCAATGGAACAGAGTAGAGAACACAGAAGTAAGACCTCACACTTACAACCATATGATCTTTGACAAATCTGAGAAAAAAAATGGGAAAAAGATTCCCTATTTAATAAATGATGCTGGGAGAGATGGGTAGCCATATGCAGAAAATTGAAACTAGACCCCTTCCTTACACCTTAAATAAAAATTAACTCAAGATGGATTAATCACTTAAATGTAAAACCCAAAACTTTATAAACTCTAGAAGAAAATGTAGGCAATGCCATTCAGGACATAGGTAGGGGCAAAGATCTTGTGAGGAAAATGCCAAAAGTAATTGTGACAAAAGCAAAAATTGACTAATGGCATCTAATTAAACTAAAGAGCTTCTGTAAAGCAAAAGAAAATATCATCAGAGGAGGAACAGACAACCTACAGAACGGGAGAAAATTTTTGCCATCCATCCATTTGACAAAGGTCTAATATCCAGAGTCTACAAGGAACTTAAACAAATTTACAAGAAAAAAAAAACATTAAAAAGCAGGCAAAGGAATTGAACAGACCTTCCCAAGAGAAGACATACATGCGGCCAAGAAGCATGAAAAAATCTTAACATCACTGATTATTAGAGAAATGCAAATCAAAAGCACAATGAGATTCCATCTCACACCAGTCAGAATAGTGATTATTAAAAAGTCAGAAAACAACAGATGCTGGTGAGATTGTAGAAAAAAGGAATGCTTTCACACTGTTGGTGAAAGTGTAAATTAGTTCAACCATTGTGGAAGAGAGTGTGGTGACTCCTCAAAGACCAAGAGGCAGAAATACCATTTGGCCCAGCAATCCCATTACTAGGTATATACCCAAAGAAATATAAATCATTCTATTATAAAGATACATGCATATGCATATTCATTGCAGCACTGTTCATAATAGCAAAAACGTTGAATCAAACAAAATGTCCATCAATGATATACTGGATAAAGAAAATATGGTACATATACACCATGGAATACTATGCGGCCATAAAAGGAAACAAGATCATGTCCTTTGCAGGGACATGGATGGAACATGAAGTCATTATCCTTAGCAAACTAATGCAGGAAGAAAAAAACAAACATCACATGTTCTCACTTATAAGTGGGAGGTGAATGATGAGAACAAGAACACATGGACACACTGGGAGGAACAACCCAGACTGGGGCCTGTGGGGGATTGGGGGATGGAGAGCATCAGGAAGAATAGGCAACAGATGCTGGGCTTAATACCTAGGTGATGGGATGACCCGTGCAGCAAACCACCATGGCACATGTTTACATAGGTAACAAGCCTGCATATCTGGCACAGGTACACCTGAACTTAAAATGAGAGTTGAAAAAAAAAGGAATATAAAAGTGAAATAACTTATCAACTGAAAAAAATACTTTTTTATTTTTGACCTTGAATCCTCCATTCCAAATGCAGAAATAAATCTACCTCCTTTGCTTTGTGATTCATTTAGGAAATAATACTATTTTATTAGAAAATTCATAGCTTTTCTCCCTTTCTATATGTTTATCATTAGACAGACTCTCCCATCTTCATTCATATCCAACCCAGCAAGTACTTGAGAGTGTGTGGAGGGAGCAGTTAGCCACAAAGCTTAATGAAATTTCAGTCCACTCCTTTTTCTCCTTTTTTCTAGACATATCCCAAGGAGGAACTATTGTCTGCACCTCTTTTCTTTCCAGCTTGTTTCTCCTTGACTTCCCCCTCCCCATACATTGCCTGCCAGAAGAGTACATAGGGTAGGCTTTCTTCATGTGTACAAAAGCATCATGTCAATCACTGAGGGCCCAACTGAGACTCCTTGCCTCAATCTCAGTGTCCATTAGTATTTTAAGCAGTTATGATGAGGAGAGTTCCATCAGAACTACAAACCTTTGTATGTCCTTCCTGCCACTTGTGTGACTTATGCTTGATATTGGTACTCTCTGCACATAGATTTGGATGCTGGACCCCCTAGTCTTTATATGCTTCTCCTCCCCTTATGGCAAGAGTTAGTATAGCTAAACCTGTTTACCATTTCACGGCCTTACTACCTGTAAAAGGGATGTTTGCTTAGGCAAGAGGAATCTGTACTTTTGCATTATGTATTTTCTACTAGAAAGTCTGGGAGCTGATGCTTCTGCTTCTCTATGATTTTCCCTTTCCTTGCTGGTGGCCTGATATTTATCAATATAATTTTATTAAAATTGGTGGGTATATTTTAGAGATAGAGAAAATAAATTTGGGTAAAAAAATCTAAGTTGTGAGTTCTATTGGTTCCTAATCGCACAGAAAAAAACCCAAACCTCCAATTAAAGGTCCTGACATGACCAAACATCTATATAAAGACAAGATTATTGTTACAAATGTACTTGTGCCTTCTCAGGGAAGGTACTACCAAAATAGCTATGTTTGAAGGATTTGATCTTTTGAAAACAGACAGCAAAAGAATGGGACCTCATAGAATCATGAAATGTCAGAGCTGGCAGTGACCTTAGAAGCTTGGTTCATCTTTCCCTCTGGCTGTCTAGCAAAGGAGTACCTTGCACAAAGTTCCTAGTCAGTTAGCAGGAAAGCAAGACTGGAAGTTCCTGTTCCCTCAGCTTCACACAGGGCTCTTTCTACTGCACTCTGCAACCTCCTGGCTTTATCGTCTCTCTCTGACCCAGTTGTTACTCCTTCCTCCACAAAAAAACTTTTTACAGATAATCAAACAAAAAAATAATTAATGCCTTTCTCTATGCTATATCATTTTCTTTTTCTTTTTTTATAATCAGTTTTTCATTTCAGGAATTTCCTCTTGATGGAGGGTTTTTTTTTTGTTTTGTTTTGTTTTTGTTTTTGTTTGTTTGTTTATTCTCTCAGAATTTAGGACCAGTGAAGTCTATAACCTGTATGAAAGGATTTTTGTTTTATTTTTCATAGCTTTAGGCTCAGCATGATCGATACTGTAGATGGGCAAACAGTAACAACTAGCGTTGCTCAAGTTGCTCAGAGACTGGCTGGTAACAATAAATAAACGGGTGTGAGGGACGGTCATTGAAATATGCAGTCTGGCCTTCAGCCTAACCCAATGTCACATTGTGATGATTTACTCTGGGTCTCAATGAGCAGAGGTGCTGCTATCATCATCCCTTGGCCATCTAACATTATTCTGGATTCAGTGCCCACTAGAAATTATCTGACTTTTACCCCTCTTATTCTACCAGGTGCTCTTCATTCACCCATCCATACCCCTTCACTCCCTCTATCTCCACAGAATCTGCTAGATTAAGATATCCTGGCTGAATGATGACCTTGTGGAAGCAGCCTCAGTCATGTCTACCTTGGCCTGAAGATATGTCCCAGAGCTTTGTTAACATGACACTAACTGATGGATCATCTAAGTTAGGGATATGAATTCAAAGTTTTTCTTTTAATGTTTACTTGTTCACTATGTACCTATTTATTACTGAGTTGAAACAGCAATTTTCACAGAAGTAGACATTTTGGTTTACATGTTTTTGTTTTCATGCCTGACCCACAAAGGAGATTTTATAAATCATTATGTTACTCCATTTGAATGCCCCCGGTAATATTTTTAAAAGATCTTTTGACAAGAGGCCCCAGCACATTGAATAGAAAAACTATAAAAACTACAGAATATTTGACATAAAAATGATGCATTATTTCATGTTTCTAGTAGAAATCAGGACCTCATTAATCCTGATTTCTTGGCTAAGTTCAATGCTATATGTTAAGGAAACTGTCACCCTCCAGTCATACTGCAGATTTTCAGGGCAACCTAGAAACTTTGGAAGAAAATGCTGATATGAAAAACGAGTTTTGCCAAAGAAAGAGTACTGGGCAAACTTAGGCTGCAAACCCTCCATTCAGGAACCCTCTGAGGACCTGAGTTTTATCCTTTACAAAATGAGAAGATGGGCCTGTGAATCTCTTCTCCTAAGATAAACTTTGCTTCTGTTTTCCTTGATTACAAACTCTGTAGTTGCTCCATATGGTGGACTGTAGCTTAAAGAGTGTAGATATTAACTAGGGAGCTATAAATACTTTTTAAAATGATTAGAATGGAAACCAGCTTTTCTACACGCTAGTGTCTAATTTTCTCAGGATTGTAGGGTGTCTAAGTTTCTCGGGAGGCATTGTGAAACACTTGGAAGTAAACAAAGTACAAAAATTAATTCAAAAATATTTGAACTGAAAGTAGGAGCCAACAGCACTTTTATCAAGTTGTGAGAAAGAGTGTTAGGAAACCAAACAATGACTTTCCTTTCCTTCACCCCATATCAAATCAGTCACCATATTCTGCCAAGTATTCTCTGACAATATCTCTCATGTCTGTTACTTTCCATTTGCTGTGCTGCCATTCCCACTGCAGCCTCCTATCAATTAGCTGTTGGCATATTTTGAAAGCCCCTTGAGTGTTCTCTCTGCCTGCTTCTGTCCATCTTTGTCTATTATATTAACCTTTTACAAAGAACTAGAAATACCATTTGACCCACCCATCCCATTACTGGGTATATACCCAAAGGATTATAAATCATGCTGCCATAAAGACACATGCACATGTATGTCTATTGCGGCACTATTCACAGTAGCAAAGATTGGAACTAACCCAAATGTCCATCAATGATAGACTGGATTAAGAAAATGTGGCACATGCCCACAAGAGAAAGCAGGAAAGATCTAAAATTGACACCAAACATCACAATTAAAAGAACTAGAGAAGCAAGAGCAAACACATTCAAAAGCTAGCCGAAGGCAAGAAATAACTAAGATCAGAGCAGAACTGAAGGAAATAGAGACACAAAAAACCCTTCAAGAAAATCAATGAATCCAGGAGCTGGTTTTTTGAAAAAATCAACAAAATTGATAGACCGCTAGCAAGACTAATAGAGAAAAAAAGAGAGAAGAATCAAATAGATGCAATAAAAAATGATAAAGGGGATATCACCACCGATCCCACAGAAATACAAACTACCATCAGAGAATACTATAAATGCCTCTACGTGAATAAACTAGAAAATCTAGAAGAAATTGATAAATTCCTCGACACATACACCCTCCCAAGACTGAACCAGGAAGAAGTTGAATCTCTGAATAGACCAATAACAGGCTTTGAAATTGAGGCAATAATTAATAGCTTACCAACAAAAAAGAGTCCAGGACCAGATGGATTCACAGCCGAATTCTACCAGAGATACAAGGAGGAGCTGGTACAATTCCTTCTGAAACTATTCCAATCAATAGAAAAAGAGGGAATCCTCCCTAACTCATTTTATGAGGCCAGCATCATCCTGATACCAAAGCCTGGCAGAGACAAACAAAAAAAGAGAATTTTAGACCAATATCCTTGATGAACATTGATGCGAAAATCCTCAATAAAATATTGGCAAACCGAATCCAGCAGCACATCAAAAAGCTTATCCACCACGATCAAGTCGGCTTCATCCCTGGGATGCAAGGCTGGTTCAATATACGCAAATCAATAAATGTAATCCAGCATATAAACAGAACCAATGACAAAAACCACGTGATTATCTCAATAGACGCAGAAAAGGCCTTTGACAAAATTCAACAGCCCTTCATGCTAAAAACTCTCAATAAATTAGGTATTGATGGGACATATCTCAAAATAATAAGAGCTATCTATGACAAACCCACAGCCAATATCATACTGAATGGACAAAAACTGGAAGCATTCCCTTTGAAAACTGGCACAAGACAAAGATGCCCTCTCTCACCACTCCTATTCAACATAGTGTTGGAAGTTCTGGCCAGGGCAATCAGGCAGGAGAAGGAAATAAAGGGTATTCAATTAGGAAAAGAGGAAGTCAAATTGTCCCTGTTTGCAGATGACATGATTGTATATCTAGAAAACCCCATTGTCTCAGCCCAAAATCTCCTTAAGATGATAAGCAACTTCAGCAAAGTCTCAGGATACAAAATCAATCTGCAAAAATCACAAGCATTCTTATACACCAATAACAGACAAACAGAGAGCCAAATCATGCGTCAGCTCCCATTCACAATTGCTTCAAAGAGAATAAAATACCTAGGAATCCAGCTTACAAGGGATGTGAAGGACCTCTTCAAGGAGAACTACAAACCACTGCTCAATGAAATAAAGGAGGATACAAACAAAAGGAAGAACATTCCATGCTCATGGGTAGGAAGAATCAATATCATGAAAATAGCCATACTGCCCAAGGTAATTTATAGATTCAATGCCATCCCCATCAAGCTACCAATGACTTTCTTCACAGAACTGGAAAAAACTAATTTAAAGTTCATATGGAACCGAAAAAGAGCCCACATTGCCAAGTCAATGCTAAGCCAAAACAACAAAGCTGGAGGCATCACGCTACCTGACTTCAAACTATACTACAAGGCTACAGTAACCAAAACAGCATGGTACTGGTACCAAAACAGAGATATAGACCAATGGAACAGAACAGAGCCCTCAGAAACAATGCCACATATCTACAACTATCTGATCTTTGACAAACCTTACAAAAACAAGAAATGGGGAAAGGATTCCCTATTTAATAAATGGTGCTGGGAAAACCGGCTAGCCATAGGTAGAAAGCTGAAACTGGATCCCTTCCTTATATCTTATACAAAAATCAATTCAAGATGGATTAAAGACTTAAATGTAAGACCTAAAACCATAAAAACCCTGGAAGAAAACCTAGGCAATACCATTCAGGACATAGGCATGGGCAAGGACTTCATGTCTAAAACACCAAAAGCAATGGCAACAAAAGCCAAAATTGACAAATGGGATCTAATTGAACTAAAGAGCTTCTGCACAGCAAAAGAAACTACCATCAGAGTGAACAGGCAACCTACAGAATGGGAGAAAATTTTTGCAATCTGCTCATCTGACAAAAGGCTAATATCCAGAATCTACAATGAACTCAAAGAAATTTACAAGAAAAAAAAAACAACCCCATCAAAAAGTGGGTGAAGGATATGAACAGACACTTCTCAAAAGAAGACATTTATGCAGCCAAAGAACACATGAATAAATGCTCATCATCACTGGCCATCAGAGAAATGCAAATCAAAAAAACAATGGGATACCATCTCACACCAGTTAGAATGGCGATCATTAAAAGTCAGGAAACAGGAGGTGCTGGAGAGGATGTGGAGAAATAGGAACACTTTTACACTGTTGGTGGGACTGTAAACTAGTTCAACCATTGTGGAAGTCAGTGTGGCGATTCCTCAGGGATCTAGGGCTAGAAATACCATTTGACCCAGCCATCCCATTACTGGGTATATACCCAAAGGATTATAAAACATGCTGCTATAAAGACACATGCACACGTATGTTTATTGCGGCACTATTCACAATAGCAAAGACTTGGAACCAACCCAAATGTCCAGCAATGATAGACTGGATTAAGAAAATGCAGCACATATACACCATGGAATACTATGCAGCCATAAAAAATGATGAGTTCATGTCCTTTGTAGGGACATGGATGAAGCTGGAAACCATCATTCTCAGCAAACTATCGCAAGGACGAGAAACCAAACACCCAAACACCACATGTTCTCACTCATAGGTGGGAACTGAACAGTGAGAACACATGGATACAGGAAGGGGAACATCACACATCGGGGACTGTTGTGGGGTGGGGGAGGGGTGACGGAAAGCATTAGGAGATATACCTAATGCTAAATGATGAGTTAATGGGTGCAGCACACCAACATGGCACATGTATACATATGTAATAAACCTGCACGTTGTGCACATGTACCCTAAAACTTAAGGTATAATAATAATAAAAATAAATAAATGAAAAAAGAAAGAAAATGTGGCACATATACACCGTGGAATACTATGCAGCCATTAAAAAGGATGAGTTCACGTCCTTTGTAGGGACATGGATGAAGGTGGAAACCATCATTCTCAGCAAACTCTCGCAAGGACAGAAAACCAAACACCGCATATTCTCGCTCATAGGTGGGAATTGAACAATGGGAACACTTGGACACAGGAAGGGGAACATCACACACCAGGGCCTGCTGTGGGGTGGGGGGAGAGGGGAGGGATAGCATTAGGAGATATATCTAATGTAAAAGATGAGTTAATGGGTGCAGCACACCAACATGGCACATGTATACATATGTAACAAACCTGCAGGTTGTGCACATGTATCCTAGAACTTAAAGTATAATACTAAAAAAAAAAAAAAAAAAAGAAAAACAGAAATGCAACGTGCTTTAAAGAAACATAAAGAAGAGACTTCTTCCTCAGTGGCTCTCTATTGCTCCTGAGAATAAGGTAAAACCCCATTTGTCTTAATTAAAATTAAAAATAAATTAAAATTAATTAAAATTAAAGCTACTTATGCTTTGGCCCCAATTTTAATTCTCTGGCCTTAACTTTCACTGCCCCCTCACACCTCACAGGTATCTTTCTCTCCAGTCAAACAGGTTTATTGACTATGTCCTAAATACAGCTTCCATTCTGCACTGCTACCACCAAGCTTTTGCCAGTCCTTTTACTTCCTTGGAAATATCCGATCTTATTGCCTTTACTTCTGCAACCTCCACCCATGCTTCCTAATACCCTCCCAATTTTGTTTTTTTCTTAAAGCATTCTCAAGACAATAAACCAGAAGTGACCTCTTTTTCTTTTAATTCCTTTAACAATTGTTCATTTGGTCATGAATCTTCAGTTGCCTTCTTATTAAATTACATATTTGTAATTTTTTATTATAGAAACAGTACAACATGGAAGAATTGTTTAAGAAAGGGGAGGGTGTTTGTGTGAGGAAGCCAAACCAGAATCCCAGGTTCCTAAATGGAAAACTTGCTGTTTTTGTGAGCATAGGTTTTGCATCCAGTATATCATCATTTATGATCTTTGTGACTTTGGACTAGTGCTTAGCATGTCTAAGTCTCAATTTTCTCATCTGGAATATAAAAACAAAACAACCTTATTTCCCAGAGATTCTATGAATATTAAACAGGGCAATATATGTGTGAATCAGAGTAGAAATAGCTTAGCCTGAAAAAAGAGGACCAGCAAATTTTCAAATACTGATTGCAATTTTTATATTCCATGTCAGCCATGTTTTATGTACATTTTCAATCAACAATGTTTTCTAAGCATATTTTTTGCTGCCATCTTCAGACAGACTATTTATAATAGTTTGGCAACAATCTGTAGTGTGCATGGATTATACTTCACCTAAGCCTCTTCCTATTGTTAAGTACTTGGGCTGCTTCCCCTATTCTGTTGTTATTGTAGACAATATTTTGATTAATATTTTTAGGCATAAAGTTTTTTTAGGTTTGGATGATTTTCTTAGAATGAATTTCCAGAAATTATATTTTTGAGGAAAAGAGAATGCATATTGTTATGGCTCTTATGCCACTAACAATATAAGGTTACAACAATTTTATACACACATTAGTTCTGTGTATCATCCTCTAATTTTAAAACTTATATATTATTCTAAATAGTATTTCTTTGTGTTTTCTTCTATTTCTTCAAACACTGTCGTAGTAAGGTTGAACATTTTTTCACATGTTGATTTACTGCTAGATCCTTTCTTATGAATTGTCTATTTTCTTTGCCCATTCATCTGCTAGGTTTTTAATGTCTTTGTTTCAATTTCTATGGGCTCATCAAAAAGACTACAAACAATACTCTCTTGTCATTTCTTTTGCTAGATTTTATTGGTTCATTATTTTTAACATTGTAAGGCTGTTTTTAGTGTTTTGCAGAAGTTTTATGTTTCTGTGGAGTTTACCATGTTGGTATTTTTTTTTGGAATTGTGTTTAACTCTCAGACTTCAAATTTATTCTCCAATCTACTGCCATTGACAGTTCCTTTATTGTTATGTTACAATATTATTATTATTATTATTATTGAGACGGAATCTCTCTCTGTTGCCAGGCTGGAGTGCAGTGGCACAATCTCCTCTCACTGCAATCTCCACATCCTAGGTTCAAGCGATTCTCCTGCCTCAGCCTCCCAAGAAGCTGGGATTACAAGCACATGCCACCACGCCCAGCTAATTTTTGTATTTTTAGTAGAGACGAGGTTTCTCCGTGTTGGCCAGGATGGTCTCAATCTCCTGACCTCGTGATCTGCCTGCCTCGGCCTCCCAAAGTGCTGGGAATACAGGATGTTACAATGTTATTTTAGTGTATTGTTATTTAACTATTTTCTATCTAGATTATGAACTCCCTAAATTGAGGTATCCTGCCTTTATGCTATAAACACAGATCACAAAAAGGACTGGCTTGTGAGTTAGAAAACCTGTACTTGAACCCACGTCATAATTGCTATGTCACTTTTGACGTCTTTTAATTTATCTTGGCTCCTATAAAATAAAGACTGCCTTATGCTTTCTTTATAAGTTATTAGGCTAAACAGATGTGCCAATATACATATGAAAGTTTTGTATACTGTAATTCACCATTAAATGAGTCAGTTGTAATTTTGTGCATGCCCAACAGTGCCTGGCACAGTGCTGCCATGATAAGAGGTTCTCAGTAAAGTTGTTTAATTTGAATTTAATGGGGGTTATAATATATTAAGAAAAAGGAGAGAAAAGTCACTGTATTAGATACTCATTTTAGCCATCGTTGCTACTTATATATTAAAAATTTTCTAGTATAAAATGAATTGCAAATAGTCTACCTTATTGTATGGTCTGTGTCTTTGTTTGATTTGAGAAATGTGGTATCCTTGACTATAACCTTCTTGTTAATGGTTATTAGCCAGGTAATTTTGAAGCTAGCTGTTGTTTGATCTTTAACCATACAAAAAACAAAAACAAAAACAAATACAAAACAAAAACAGAAGTGTACTTTAAGGAAATTTTGAAAACTTTATCGCTGTCGCAAAGTGAAAATCACACATGCTTAAGGATACATGATTGTCTAAATAAAAGATAATCTGGAAAATCAGGGTTTAAAGCAATGTTTAAGAACCCAAAAGATCATCTTAGTTTTTTTTTTTGTTTGTTTTAAACCTGCTCTGTGAAACATAGAAATACTTCAATGAACTGGCAGTGGTAACATTTTGGAAATGCTTTTAGTTATGTGATATTTGTGTCAAGAAATAAAGAGGCTGGGCATGGTGGCTCACGCCTGTAATCCCAGCACTTTTGGTGGCTGATGCGGTGGATCACGAGGTCAGGAGTTTGAGACCAGCCTGGCTGATATGGTGAGACCCTGTCTCTACTAAAAATACAAAAAATTAGCTGGGCGTGGTGGCGGGTGCCTGTAATCCCAGCTACTCAGGAAGCTGAGGCAGGAGAATCGCTTGAACCTGGGAGGCGGGGGTTGCAGTGAGCCGAGATCGCTCCATTGCACTCAAGCCAGGGTGACAGTGCGAGACTCCGTCTCAAAAAAAAAAAAAAAAAAAAAAAAAAAGAAAGAAACAAAAGGGAAAAAGAAATAAAGAAGCACAAAAACTGTGGACTGATAATAAATCTCTTTAAATTAGAGAATGTGAAACTGCAGATAAAATGTCTACCTCCATTTATGAAGAAACTCTATACAGTGAAGTATGAAGCCATAACAAACAAAACATATTTACAAATCAAAATGAAAAGGCACCAGTTCTTTATGAGTTTCTGAAAAAAACATTCCACTGATATTTCAGTTACTTAAAAACAAAACCTTCTGACAAAGTACATATGTGTTACATATCCAAATGTGATGTGGGTAAGACAAAAAAATTATGTTCACAGTTTTAACGAAGCTAAAATTCTTACCCCAGTCTTTTAAAATATTTTAAGTTATTCAATATTAGATTCTTTGGCAATGTTAGTGAAAGATTCTTTAAGTAATGTAAAATAAAATACAGTATTTCTGTCAATTCTTCTTATGGTAACTGTCTTTCCTCATCATGTCTATAAATGTCAAATTAAATAGAAAACAAAGTCAAACTCAATATGTACTAGAAAAAAATTAGCTTAGATTTTTGAAATAAATGCAATTCGTAAAGGAATTTGGAAAATATACCTGAGTAACAAACTCTTGCATTGGCCTCGAAAGGGTGATAAAGATCAGAGGCAGGGGGATGAGCAGAAGTATTAATAGAAATGTAAAGAACCCTAAAGATGATGTATAGATGAGAGAGTGTGGTTTCAGTAAGGGAAAAAAGAAGAGAAAAGGAAAAGAAAGTGGAAGAAAGAGAAAGGAGAAAAAAAATCTCTAAGCAACAAAATTCTAAGGGAATTACTTTATGTAGTGTGAAGTAGTCCAACTTCATGGCATTTGTTCTACCAACAGTCTGTAGTGGTTGTTAAGATCTTAATTTTTAACTCATTGAGGTCTAATGAAGATTTGTTTTTGGTATCCTTTAACGGTTTTTCTTTATATTCTGCATGGCATTGTATTGCAATAGGCTTATTTGTGTGTTTGGCTCCTAGACTCTCTAATAGACTCCCTAAAATTAGAGCCCTCCTTTTTAGGGCCTATTACGGGAACTTGTACATGAGTGTAGGCGCTCAGTATGAGTTATACATAGGGATCTCAGTCAGATTAAATTATCAATTATCTTTAAAAACTAAAGTATTTTGTTAGTGTTTCTGCATTCACAAGATCTATTTTTCATGCACTTTAGAATTTTTACATTCTTTGTTCAATTTTCAGAGACATTTAAACAACACCCCTTCAATCCAGCATTTTACTTAAGACCAGGTTTGTCTTGGAATGTTAATAGAATGAAATATGTAAATATACCAACTGTGAAACAAATAGTATTATAGAAACAATAAACAAAACTCTAAACAAGAATATTCAAAAAGAATATTTTTGTAAAGAGTGGAGTAAGAAGATGGAAATTGTTTTCAGCACATCTAAGGAGAACTGTCTGTTAAACCAAAATGAAATCCATTTTAAACATCAAATTTTATTATTAATTTATGACTACTGATTAGATAATTTTTTTTTCTTTCCTAAGAAAGGCCATGCATGGTGGCTCACACCTGTAATACCAGGACTTTGAAAGACTGAGGCAGGAGAATGACTTGAGGCCAGAGTTCAAGACCATCCTGGGCAACATCTCTACAACTATTAAGAAACAAATAAACAAACAAACAGAAAAACTTAGCTGAGTGTGGTGGTGCACAACTGTAGTCCTAGCTATTCAGGAGGCTAAGGCCAGAGTATAATGTGAATCCAAGAGTTCAAAGCTACAGTGAAGTTTGATTGCGGCACTGTACTCTGGGCAACAGAGTGAGATTCTGTCTCTAAAAAAAAAATGAAAGAGATACTAGCAAAGTTGTGGAGAAAAGGGAATGCTTATACGCTGTTGATGGAGATGTAAATTAATTCAACCACCGTGGAAAGTAGTTTGGAGATTTCTCAAAAAACTTAAAACAGAACTACCATTCAACCCAGCAATCCCATTACTAGGTATATGCTCAAAGGGAAATATATAATTCTACCAAAAAGACACATGGTCGTACATGTTCATTGTGGTACTATTCACAATAGCAAAGACATGAAATCAGCCTAAGTGCCCATCCACAGTGGATTGGATAAAGAAAATGTGGTACAAATACACTGTGAAATACCATGCAGTCATAAAAAGAATAAAATTATGTCATTTGCAGCAACATGGATGCAGCTGGAGGCTGTTAACCTAAGCAAATTAATGCAGGAACAAAAGACCAAATACCATGTGTTCTCACTTATAAATGGGAGCTAAACATTGTGTACGCGTGGACACAGAGATGGGGACAATAGATACTAGGGACACCAAAACAGGGAAAAAGGCTGAAAAACTACCTATAAGGTACTATGCTTGCTCTCTGGGTGACAGGATCAAGTGCACCCCACCCTCAGCATCACACAATAAACCTATGTAACAAATCGTCACATGTACCCCCCGACTCTGAAATAAAAGTTGAAATTGAGAAAAAGAAAAGTAAAAACAAAACGCTTAACAACAAATAAAGTAAAGTACCTTCATTCCTTAAAGCTTTTGCTTGTGTTGTTTCTTTGCTCCGGAAAGCCACCCACTCCCACCTGTTCTACCTACTATCACGCATTTATCTCTAAAGTTCTAAATCAAATGGCACTTTAACCTTGACATTCCTGATACTTTCTAGTCATGATTAACATTACCCTTTCCCTCCTCTGTGCTCTGGTAATATGCTGTTTATCTACTTGAATATTTAAAATCACAGAGCTAGAATCAGAGTTAAAAAGGACCTGAGAAATAATGCGGTTCAATCTAGCCCTCTTACATTGTAACTGAGTCACATAAGTAATTAGCACTTCCCTTTGTTATTAGAGTTATTTGTGAACACATACATTTTCCCCACTAAACTTATACACTCCTTGAATGTTTATGTGTTTTTGTCTCTTCACATCTCTGTCAGTGCCCTGCAAAAAAGGGAGTGCTCAATAAATGCTTACTGAATGAATCTTGCAAAATGAATGGATGAATGAATGAATGGCACAGCCTCTGGCAAAATGGTGACTTTGCTTTTTAACACCCTCTTAAGTACTGCTCCTCTTTTTTATCATTGGCCACTTCCACTACTTTGTCTGAAACCTCATTTTGTCATGCTGATCCCTGGTACATCTAGGTACTCTGTGATAGTGGCCTCAAGAAAGTGAGGGCAGTCTTTCCATAATTTCTCCATCTAAAGTCTCTACCACCTGTTGCACATAGAGCCGGCCCAGCTAAATCACTTGATATCTTCTGTAGAGCATGTGTGATACATTTTTGTGTCATCTGGTTTGGCTGCACTCAGATAAAGTTTTTTCTTTCCTCAGCTCAATGTGTTTTCCCCTTCTCCCATCCTGTTTTTCCTAAACAAAGAACTTTCTTCTACTTGACTGTTGTTAGTATTTGAATTAATGTAAATTCTTTAACATCTACTCCTATTCCCTGTGGTGGTTTATTGTTTAGGAATTCCACAAAGGGTTAGTGATTTTCCAGGAAATATTGACAATAGCAGAAAGAGACCATTCACCATGAAAAGAAGAGATATTAACATTGACACGTCTGTTTTGAAGGTTTTAAGGATCACTTGGAATAACCAAACTAAATTAAACCCTTCAGAAGCTAATGCCTTACTGATATACTTAAAAGTTAGAGAAACAGTAACGGTGAGATGTCAAATGACCACTTATCCAGTAAGAGTAGAAAATACAATGATAGGAGGCTTGTTGAGTTGAAAGTCATGTTAACGGTCACATAGTCTGATTTCTGGACTGTTTGATGACTTCGTATTTGCTAGATTATTAGTAAAATTTGTAGAGTTCGGCTGGACATGGTGGCTCATGCTTGTAATCCCATCATTTTGAGAGGCTGAGTCAGGGTGATTGCTGGAGCCCAGGAGTTTGAGACCAGCCTGGGCAATGTAGCAAGACCTCTGTCTCTATGAAAAAAGCAAAATTAAAAAAAAAAAAAAGCCAAGTATAGTGTCGCACGCATGTAGTCCCAGCTACTAGGGAGGCTGAGGTGGGAGGATTACTTTACCCCAGGTGGTTGAGGCTGCAGTGAGCCATGATTGCACCACTGCACCCCAGCCTGGGCAACAGAGCAAGATCCTGCCTCAAAAAAATAAATAAATAAAATAAATGCAGATTTCGATGACTTTACTCACCCAGGTATTTTCAGAAGTTTCATTGTGTGGTTGTAGGTTGGTATGCAAAGGTATATAAAAGTTTATATACACACATTTTGAGCATAGGTTTGGAATAAACTTTGGAATGACTAAAGTCAAAAAATCTGAAAATACATATGAACTCATCTCGTTTTTCAAAATAAAAGTTGTTAAATTAAAGATGGGAGTTTTATAATTTAGGTTTTCTAAATTACAAAACAGAGAAACTCTTCTGATATGTGTATACACATGCATATATGTATTCTCTTCCGTTGTGGTGTTTAGTACAGGAAGTAGGTGAGAACATTCAATGAAGACAATAAAAGGAAGTGACATATGGCTAAGGCACCTGAAAACTTCAGAAAATGTGATGCTAATTTGGAGTTCAGTAAAGTTTACTTTAAATGTATCTTTAAATCTGTCGCCTGACTTTGTATTCTACTACATAGAGATAGTGGTAGATAACAGAATGAAGGCAAGTACAGTATGTATAATCAAAGGAATCAGGTATCCGAGAAAGAGCTGTGAAAATATAACTAACTTAAAACTTTATTTACTTGTCAAAAGATGCTACATTTGATTGCGAGGACTGGTAGTCTCTGTTTTTCTAACTTCTGAGCATGCATATTCCAGTAAGTTCAGTGTTATTAAAATATATATGCTCTCTATCTTATAAAAAATTTTGAAAATCAAAAGTTTGAGTAGGTTAAATGCCACAGAACAACAATTATTTCATACAGTTTGTTGATAAGTTCTAAAGAAGGGAAATGAAGATTTCATTAAGGGAATGGAGCTTCATATGTACATCCTCTTTTGGGGAGTTGTCATGCTTCTGGGTCAGGATGCAAATGGAATGGGGAGGAGGAAACGGAGTATTTGCCCAATCTTTTCTACAGATCACTACAAATAGGTAAATTATATAAAAATTAAAATAAGTAAATATGACTGAATTTTACACTCTCATCCCTTCTTCTACCTCAAAGAAACAAACTATTTTAATGCTCTTTGGTAGAAAGTGCATTCCCATATTTTCCCCACATTTTTATGTTAAATTTCACATTATGTAAGATAACATATACTCACAGATCTAGTACATGCTTATACAGTGGGCTTTAAAGAAAATAAAACCAAACAATTAGTAAAGAATTTTCTGTTTCATTCATATTCAACTTTTATACATTTTGGATAGCTAAGGGTTTATATTCCCTGCCAAGTGTTTTATCTCCATTTCTAGATGTACCAGTTGTTTTTATAGAGATAATGACTCTTAGATTAAATGTTTCTTGAATGTGGAAATATGATAATATCATGAAGAGTTCTTTGATGAGACAATGCTTGAAGAATGAAAAGAAGAAAAGAATCAGCCAGAGAACAAACATTTAGAACCCATGTACTCTATCACATAATTTCTCATAAACATAAACTATGCTTCTTCTGTCTTCGGTAATAAATAAGATATTCTTGCCAGTCATTTTCTCTATGACTTGGACATATGTCATCCTAAGCAAATAATTGTACTCTAACTCTTATCCAATCTCTTTAATTTTGGCATTTACACTGAACTGTGAATATTTAGAATCTGTATTCCTAAAAATTTTTACTTCTTTTCAAATGTATATGGAAGTGAGAGTAAAGTAGAAAGGGTCATTTGAATCACAGTGAATTCTCTTGAATTCATACTAAAATTTAAGGACTGCATATTCAATATTTAGCATATACTAAAATTAAATTATTGGGTCATTCAGAATTAGAGCTCTTATAATGAAATCACAAAATAACCCCCGAAACACTTGGTTTTGCAGTTCTCTTCTCTATGTGCCCCTCCTCAATCTTTCAAAAAATATTATGAGATCAACGAGGCAAAGGCACACGGGAGAGGTCACTAGAGTGAAATATGTACGTGTGTAGATAGAATTGGGGTGGTGGAGAACATGAGACAATTTGGTTTCAGGTGAACTGCATAAAAGCTAACAACAAAAGCATTCTAGAGCGACTTTTAATTACTAGATTGCAATGGACCTCCAAACAGTGACATCATTACAGATCTATAGAAACCATGTGAAAGTGTGCATGCTTAAAGTGTAATTACCTCAGCACCATAAATACTGCCCTAAAATAAGATAGCATCTAATAAGATGGATATATATAAAATCTTTTAATAGTCATGCCCAAGGCTAATAATAAAAAATAGTACCAGCATTAGTGGTAAGTTTAACCTTATCCAAAATATTATTTTTGAGAATCTTGAGAGAACAAGAGCAAGATGGCAGAGTAGAAAGCTACCCTAATCGTCCCTTCCACAAAGACACCAAGTACACTACTATCTACACAGAAAAAAAAAAAAAAAATTGGCCAAGCATGGTAGCTCACACCTGTAATCCCAGCACGTTGCAAGGCTGAGGCGGGTGGATCACTTGAGATCAGGAGTTTGAGACTAGCCTGGCCAACATGGTGAAACTCCATCTCTACTAAAAATACAAAAATTAGCTGGTGTGGTGGCGCATGCCTGTAATCCCAGATACTTAGGAGGCTGAGGCAGGAGGATCACTTGAACTGGGAAGTGGAGGTTGGAGTAAGCCGAGATCGGGCCACTGCACTCCAGCCTGGGTGACAGGGCAAGACTCAGTCTCAAAACCAAAAACATAAAAACCAAACAAACAAAAAAACAAACTTTCATGAGAACCAAAAATCAGGTGAGCACTCACAGAACCTGGTTTTAACTTCATATCACTGAAAGAGGCACTGAAGAGATAGAAAAAAAAGTCCTGAATCACTGATGCCACTGCTCTCCTATCCCCAGCAGCAGAATCATGGTACAGAGAGCATCTCTGGGTGTTCAGGGAGGGAGAACACAGCAACTGTAAGGCACTGAACACAGTGCTGCCCTGTTAGGGCAGAAAGGAAAACAAGATCAAACTCAGCTGATGCCTGCCTACACAGGAAGCATTAAAACCAGCCCTAGCCAGAAGGGAATCGCCTAGCCCAGCAACTAGAACTTGATTTTCTGCAAACCTCACCACTGTTTGCGGGCTACAACACTCCGAGTCTCCAAGTAAACTTGAAAGACATTCTAGTCCATAAGGACTGCAAATATTACGCGAGACCTAGAGCTGACTAGGCCCAGAGATGATGTACTGGAGGGGCGTGGGGCATACTAAAACACAAGCTGGGGCAGCCAAGGTAGTGCTGGCATCACCCCTCCCCTAACCCCAGGCTGCACAGCTACAGGTTCCAAAAGAGACTACTTCCTTCTGCTTGATGAGAGATGAGGGAAGAGTGAGAGGACTTTGTCTTGCATCTGGGATACCAGCTGAACCACAGCAGAATAGGGCACTGATAAGAGTCATGAGGCCCCCATTCCAGGCTTTAGCTCCCAGGCAACATTTCTAGACACACATTGGGCCAGAAGGGAACCCATTGCCTTGAAGGAAAAGACTCCATCCTGACAGCATTCATCACCTGCTAAATGAAGAGCCCTTGGGCCCTTAATAACCAGTAGTGATACACAGGTACTACATCGATGGCCTTGGGTAAGCCTCTGAGACTTGCTGGCTTCAGGTAAGACTTAGGACATTACCAGCTGTGGTGGCTACGGAGCAAAACTCCTTCTGGAGAAAAGCAGAGGGAAATATAAAGGGTACTTTTTCCTGCACTTCAGGGCACAAGCACCACCACAGAGGGGTAGAGCATCAAGTGGGCTCTTAGGGTCCCCGATTCCAGGACTTAACTCTTGGACAGCATTTCCGGACCCGCCCTAAGCCAGAGGGAAGTCCACTTCCCTAAAGGGTGCGTCCCAGGAAAGGCAGCATTCACCACAAGCTGACTTAAGAGACCTTGGGCCTTAAGAGAACATCAGTAGTAGTATTACAGTACTCCTTATGGCCTGGAATTCTGGTGGCTTAAGGGGTGAGGCTCCTCTGACTTTGGAAAGGGGAGGAAAGGGAAAGGAAGAGTGAGAAGGACTATGTTTTGTGATTTGAGTGCCAGCTTAGCTACAATACAATAGAACACCAAGTAGACTTCTAATAATTTTTAATCCAGTCCCAGTCTCCCGGATGGCCCTTCTGGACCCAACTGGGGCCTGGGAGACCACACTGTCCTAGGGGAAGGACACAAGCCTGGCTCACATTGCCACTTGCTGACTGTAGAGTCCCAGGGCCTTGAGTGAATATAGGCAGTAGCCAGGAAGTCATTACAACAGGTCATGGGTGAGACTCAGTGCTATGCTGGCTTTAGGTTTGACCCAGTGCAGTCATAGTAGTGGTGGTCACATGGGTAGTTGTGTCTTTTTACCCCCAGCTTTACCTGGCTCTGAGTGTAAAGAGAGACTGTATGTTTGGGAGAAAGTAAGGGAAGAGGACAAGTCTCTGCCTGGTAAACCAGGGAATTCTCTTGAATCTGATCCAAGACCATCAAGTCAGTACCTCTATGAGTCTGCAAGAATCACAGCATTATTGGACTTGGGGTGCCCCCTAAAACAGGTACAGCTGAGATCACAAAACCCAAATCCTCTAAACTATCTGGAAAGAATTTCAAAGAAGGACGGGTACAAACAAGCCCGGAGAGTGGACTATAATACATACCTAATACCCCAATGCCCAGACACTGAAGGCCATGTTCTAGCATCAGTGGCATTCAGGAAAACATGACCTCACCAAATGAACTAAATAAGGCACCAGGGGTCAATCCTGGAGAAACAGAGATATGTGACCTTTCAGACAGAGAATTCAAAATAATTGTGTTGAGAAAACTCAAAGAAATTCAAGATGACACAGGGAAGAAATTCAGACTTTTATCAGATAAATTTAACAAAGAGATAGAAATAATTAAAAAGAATCAAACGAAATTCTGGAACTGAAAAATGCAATAGGCATACTGAAGACCATATCTGTCCTTTAATAGCAGAATTGATCAAGCAGAAGAAAGAATTAGTGAGCTTGAAGACAGGCTACTTGAAAATATACAGTCAGAGGAGACAAAAGAAAAAAGAATAAAAAACAATGAAGCACAACTAGAGGATCTAGAAAATAGACTCAAAAGGGCAAATCTAAGAGGTATTGGCTTTAAAGAGGAGGTAGAGAAAGAGATAGAAGTAGAAAGTTTGTTAAAAGGGACAATAACAGAGAACTTCCCAAACCTAGGGAAAATATCAATATGCAAGTACAAGGTTATAGAACAAGCCAATTTAACCCCCAAAGACTACCTCAATGCATTTATTAATCAAAGTCACAAAGATCAGGGATAAAAACTGGATCTTAAAAGGGGCAAGAGAAAGGAAACAAATAACATACAATGGCATTCCAATACATCTGACAGCCGACTTTTCAGTGGAAACCTTACAGGAGGAGAGAGAGTGGCATGGCATATTTGATGTGCTGAAGAAAAATAACTTTTACCCTAGAATAGTATATCCAGCAAAAATATTCTTCAAACATGAAGGAGAAATAAAGACATTCCCAGAGGAAAAAAAAAACAGCTGAGAGATTTTATCAATGCGAGGCTTGTCCTACAAGAAATGCTAAAGAAAGTACTTCGATCAGAAATAAAGTGACATTAATGAGCAATAAATAATCATCTGAAGGTGCAAAACTCATTGGTAATAGTAAATACACAGAAAAACACAGAATATTGTAACACCTTAACCTTAGTTTCAGAGCAGTAGTTCTAAATCAGGGGTTATTCAGAGGACATTTGGCAATGTCTGGAGACATTTTTGGTTGTTACAACTCGGAGACAATTACTATTGGCATCTAATCGGTAGAGGCCAGAGATGCTGCTGAACATTCTGCAATGCACAGGACAGCCCCCTACAACAAAATAGTACCCAACCCCAAATGACAGTAGTGGAGAAACCTGGTTTAGTGAGTCTCAACAAATTAATATCTTCAATCTCTGCTTTCTCCTACTTTAATATATCCTGACTAGAAGGCTACTTTCCAGATACTTAAGTACCATGAAAACAATCCATAGTCCAGTGCCTCAATGTTCTCCTGGGTTATTTAACCAGTGTTCACCAAGTCAGAAATAGTAGCTCCTTAAAGTTTTGTTCATAGTAAAGCAGATATGGTTCTATTATTGAACATCCCAATCAAAATACATGCAAATGAATACATTACATTTACAGAAAACTCCTGGCAGTATTTAAAGCACCACAGACTTATAATTATTTATTAAGACCCCTTCGGTAAACATATTTAAGGATCCCTGAACCATTTCAGCAAATGTTTCACTAAACTAAGTAGAAAAGTGGTTTTCCCTGTCATTCTTTATTATTTTCCTCTTTCTTCCTTGGACCTCTCCCTTCTTTTCCTATTTGTCTTAAAATAGACTTTCACCATTTTTCCTTCTCTCACTCTTCCAGAAAGCGGCAGGACTTTCTGTCCTGAAATTCTGTTTTTGCTAAGAACCCAGTCCTAAACATAAAAACAAGGACTTGAGTAGGAGGAAATCAATGGGTATACATGTACATAAATATGGAAACAATAGACACTGGGGACTCCAAAAGTGGGGAGGGAGGGAAGGAGCGGGGCTAGGGTTGAAAAACTACCTATCATGTACTATGTTTACTATTTGGGAGATGGGTTCAACAGAAGCCCAAACAATCACAAATGATAAGGAGGATACCATCACTGACCCCACAGAAATACAAACAACCATTAGAGAATACTGTAAACACCTCTATGCACATAAACTAGAAAATCTTTAAAAAATGGATAAATTCCTGGACACATACACCCTCTCAAGATTGAATGAGAAAGATATTAAATCCCTGAATAGACCAATAACAAGTTCTGAAATTGAGGCAGTAATAAATAGCCTATCAACCAAAAAAAAAAAAAAAAAAAGCCCAGGGCAAGACAGATTTACAGCTGGATTGTATGAGAGGTATAAAGAAGAGCTGGTATCATCTTTACTGAAAGTATTTCAAACAATTAAAAGGAGGGACTCCTCCCTAACTCATTTTATGAGTCCAGCTTCATCTTGATATCAAAACCTGGCATAGATACAACAACAAAAAAGAAAACGTAAGGCCAATATCACTGATGAACATCAATGCAAAATTCTCAATAAAATATTGGCAAACCGAATGCAGCAGCACATCAAAAAGCTTATCCACCACAATCAAGTTGACTTCATCCCCGGGATGTCAGGTTGATTCAACATACGCAAATCAATAAATGTGACTAATCACATGAACAGAAATGAAGACAAAAACCACATGATTATCTCAATAGATGCAGAAAAGGCCTTCAATGAAATTCAACACCGCTTTATGTAAAAAACTCTCAATAAACTAGGTATTGAAGGAACATACCTCAAAATAACACAAGCAATGTATGACAAATCCACAGCCAAAATCATACTGAATGGGCAAAAGCTGGAAGCATTCCCCTTGAAAACTGGCACAAGACAAGGATGCCCTCTCTCATCAGTCCTATTCAACATAGCAGTGGAAGGTCTGCCCAGGGCAATCAGGCAAGAGAAGGAAATAAAGGGTATTCAAACAGAAAGAGAGGAAGTCAAATTATCTTTGTTTGCAGATGACATGAGCTATATCTAGAAAACTCCATCATCTCAGCCCAAAAGCTTCCTAAGCTAATAAGCAACTTCAGGGATGTCTCAGGATACAAAATCAATGTGCAAAAATCACTAGCATTCCTATACACTAACAGGCAAGCAAAGAGCCAAATTATGAATGAACTCCCATTCACAATTGCTACAAAGAGAATAAAATACCTAGGAATACAGTTAACAAGGGAAGTGAAGGACCTCTTCAAGGAGAACTACAAACAACTGCTCAAAGAAATCAGAGAGGGCACAAACAAATGGGAAAATATTCTGGGCTCATAGATAGGAAGAATCAATATCATGAAAATGGATATACTGACCAAAGAAATGTATAGATTCTATGCTATTCCCATTAAACTACCATTGACATTCTTCACAGAAGTAGAAGAAACTATTTTAAAATTCAAAAACCCTAGAAGAAAATGTAGGCAACACCATTTAGGACATAGGCACAGGCAAATATTTAATCACAAAAACACCAAAAGCACTAGCAACAAAAGCAAAAATTGACCAATGGGTTCTAATTAAACTAAAGAGCTTTGGCAAAAGAAACTATCATCAGAGTGAACAGATAACTTTCAGAATGGGAGAAAATTTTTGCGATCTATCCATCTGACAAAGGTCTAATATTCAGAGTCTACAAAAAAATAAATTTACAAAGAAAAAAACATTAAAAAGTGGGCAAAGCACATGAACAGACACTTCTAAAAAAAGTACATATGGCCAACAAGCATGAAAAAAAGCTCAACATCACTGATCATTACAGAAATGCAAATGAAAACCACAGTGAGATACCATCTCACACCAGTCAGAATGGCGATTATTAAAAAGTCAATAAAAAACAGATGTTGGCAAGGTTTTGGAGAAAAAGGATCACTTTTACACTGTTGGTGGGAGTGTAAATTCATACATATACACCATATGCAGCCAGAAATGGAACAAGATCATGTCCTTTACAGGGACATGGATAAAGCTGAAAGCCATTATTCTCAGCAAAGTAACACAGGAAGAGAGAAACAAACACCACATATTCTCACTTACAAGTGGGAGCTGAATGATGAGAGGACACTGACACATGAGGAGGAACAACACACACTGGGGCCTGTCGGGGGTGCACAGGGAGAGAGAACATAAAGAAGAATAGCTATTGGATGCTGGGCTTAATAGCTGGGTGATGGGTTGATCTGTGCAGCAAACCACCATGGCACACTATTCCTATGTAACAAACCTTCATATCCTGCACATGTACCCCAGAACTTTAAAAAGTTGAAGATAACAAAGAAAAGTAAAATCAGAAAATAAGATGACAGAAGTTGAGTTGAAGTAGTTCTGTTTTTATATAAATATTAGGGATAATCCTCTTTACGAGATAGATAGATATCAGGTTTAAAGAACCAAATTTCTTTAAAGTTGTACTCTATCTAAAAAGGATACTCAAATCAAAATAACACAAAAGTTTAAAGTGGAGGGATGGCAACAATATCAAACTAAATTAAAGTAGAAGTCATATATTACTATAAAAATGAAATTAAAGGCAAAAACATCAAACATAAAAAAGAAGCCCAAACCCCAGCTCTTTGCAAGATACCTTATGTAACAAACCTGCATATGTACTGCCTGAGTTCAAAATGATAAAAAAAGAAGGAAAGAAATAAAAAAAGGACATGGAGATAAAAATCAGACTACTCCAGGCAACTTTGAATGTCTGTCTACCTCATTATAGCATGTCACAAATTTATTCACATTTTGACTTTTATTGTTGTGGTTTAGGACAGTAATTTCCTTAGGCTTGGCTTGTAAAACTAAGGTCTGCTTGTTCTGGGTTAGTCACTAGTTACATCCCTGGTTAAATGATAGTGATCAGAGAGAGCTCCTTGAGGGATTCCTATTTATCTTTGTATCCCTTGCAACACTTACTAAAATATTTTGAAGGTAAAAGAGATAAAGATGTTTAACTAATTGAATTGAATTCTTTTTTAGAAGCTTAAGGCATAACATATCTCCAAAGACCTCTCAATCTAGTTGAAGACGGAAGCAACAAATGAAAATGTCACCAGTAAAACACACCTGTAGCAAGGCTAGTGGTACAAACAATAAATGCCATGGAGGTCCAGAGGCAGAAAAGTTACTTTCACCTGGAAAGAGACATTCATTCTCAAAAGGCCACTGCACAATTTGTTTTAGAATCCTAGAGTCTTTCACATTTCCAATCCCAGGCTGCAAACATCTTCAAGGTCATTAGCTTCATCCACATCCCGCCCCCAACCACCAGCTTCCCTATCTGCCAAATGTTAAAATGTTCTCTACTATCTTTGCCAGATGATAGTGCTGGTAACGTAGGAAGCTTGATGACCCAGAAACATACCCATATTTTAAATTATTCATTCCCTAAACATTTCTTATATTTCCAAAGCTGCTTCAGACTGCACAGTATCTCAATATAGAACTTCTTAGAAAAGGTCAGGTTACTGAGAATAGTCACATAAATTTACTCCTATTTTTTTCTTATGTATTTTGAAGTATTTGGCCAACTTTCATTTGTTAACGTCAAGCACCCCTTTGAGAGTTAACCTATACTCCTCTGAGGGTCTTGGCTGCTAAAAGTGTTAAAGTATTGAACATCTGGAAGTCATGCAAGGTCCCCAAATAACATATATTGCTGGGTTTCTTTACATATAAGTTAATTATACTGGTATCAAGGTCATAGCATAGCAGCAGCAATTTATGAATAATGACATTTTCAGGAAGGGTAAATGGGCCTTTAAGGATGATCTGGATTGAACTCAACAAAGTCTACTAAACCACTTAAAAAGCATAATTATATTTTTCATTATTGAAAAATCCAGGATCATCTACTGCTCCTGGATTAAACGAAAATTTGTTCAAATCGTAACAACATAAGGACTGATTTTAGTCCATATAATGATATTAAACTAAACACCCAAAGATGTAAACAGGATTGTGGCTTTACTATGAAGACAGCCCTGAAAATGCACCTCTTGGTAAAATAAATTCCTAGGTGAATATGTCATTGTGATGCCCCAAATCCTTTAATGTTATTCCATCTTCTATTTGACACAGAGTGTCACCCACTTTTAAAAACTATTTTGCTATCTTTCATCATTCTAATTTTATTGCACCCTATTTTTCAATATGAAATCTTCAGTTCAGTGAGACTGATGTATTCTCTGTCACTAAGGCACCATGCAAATGCTCATTTTGTTTACTGATTTCTTCATACCCTTTCTCTTGCCAATCCACATTATGTACTCTTTAATCTCCCTTCTCCACCCTTTCTCTGAAATCCAATAGCATTTCCTATCTGTTTGAAATGTTCCAAAATATTTCTTGTTTGTCCAGTGACTTAGCCTTTCTTGGCTCTGTGTTCTTTCTCCCTGAGATTTGCAAAAGCTTCTTCCACACAGAAATCATGGCATACTTCTCTATATTTGTTCCCAAAGCACAGTTCTCTTGCACATAGTAGACACTCTATAAATATTTGTTAAATACATGCATGAGTTGACTCAATAAAGAGATAGCTTTTTTTTTTTTTTTTTTTTTTTTTTTTGAGACGGAGCCTCACTGTGTCGCCCAGGTTGGAGTGCAGTGGTGCGATCTCGGCTCACTGCAAGCTCCGCCTCCCGGGTTCACGCCATTCTCCTGCCTCAGCCTCCGGAGTAGCGAGTAGCTGGGGCTACAGGCGCCCGCCACCAGACCCGGCTAATTTTTTTTTATTTTTAGTAGAGACGGGGTTTCACCATGTTAGCCAGGATGGTCTGGATCTCCAGACCTCGTGATCCGCCCGCCTCAGCCTCCCAAAGGGCTGGGATTACAGGCATGAGCCACCGCGCCCGGCCCAGAGATAGCTTTTTAACATGGAAGGCAATATTTCCAAACTTGCTAACTTGGAGATTATAATGAAACAGATCAACACACTCAAAAGGAGCATAGAGTACACAGTTGTGCACGTTATAAAGTATAGCAGGTAGTTTTGGTAACTATTTGTTCTGGCTTCCTATACACAATCCTCACTGTATATATTGTAGTGATTCCAATTTTAATTGAAGTTTTAAAAGTGACGCAAGAAGGAGAACATCAATATATCAGCTCATAACTGTTTTAGCCTACCACATCCTTCATGTGAATGAAATATAGGTTTGAGATAATTATTTATTTTATCATATCCTTGTATGTAATCTCCAACAACTTTGGCTCCTGCTGCCCACAACCCTTACGAAAGAACTGCTGCAGACTTCCATAGTGGGCTGGCTGAAATGCAGAATAAACGTCCAAATTTGTTTCCAACTTATATTACCTAATGTTGGAAACCATTTGCTTGAATATTGGCTTTTATAATATTTCAAATGGAACATATTTCACTTGGGAAATATCTGCTTTTATAGTTGTTGGAAGCTTTTCCTATTTTGAATTTCTGTTTTGCTTGGTCGTGACTTCTTCCCTCCCCCTTTTTTTAATTAATATTCTTTCCTTGAAGAATTGTGGCAAATAGTTTAGAGACTAAAAGGTAACACTCCATGAATTTATGAAAAAGATGATTTGTTTATATCTGTTTTGCATAGAATTGTTCATATTTTCATTGACACATACAAATTTTGCTTCATTCTGAGGGAGAGAGAGAGGGAAAGAATGATAATCAATGGAGTACAAATTTATTGTTTATTATTAATTGAAGGTTAATTATTTTTAAACAGACATTTAAAAAATTTCATCATCTAAAAAAGTCTACACTACATGAAAAAGTGAAAAGGAAAATTATCTCTCATATATCTTCGTTTCCTTAAGACACCCAGTTTTACAAAAGGTGTTCCTGTCCACTCTGAAATACCTGCCTGTTAAAGTGACAGTTGTAGAGTGTCCTTGTTAGCTTTTTTCTTCATCCAACAAATCGAAAGCATTAAGCTGTTTCAAAAAACAACGAAACCATTTTCTCAGCTCCAAATTCAGGGAAAAATATGGAATGACTTAATATTTATCCAACTCTAATGTTCAGTGAAACTGTGTTTTACAAAATAAACACACCGGTGGTGAAATAAATCACCTTTCAAACAGTTTAAAAACAAATGTAAATTTTTTTTTAATCAAAGACCTTTTATAAATGTATTCTTGTATTTGGTCTCTACATGCCCCCTTGTGGTAACACCAAATAAACTCAAGGCTCTTGAAAATGGAAACGGTTTATTTTTTAGTGCAGATGCTCCTTGACTTACAATTCAGTTACTTCCCCAATAAATCCTTCGTTAATTGAAAATACCATAAGTCGAATATGTATTTAATACACCAAACCTACTGAACATTTTAGCTTAGCCTAGCCTACCTTGAACATGCTCAGAACACTTACGTTAGCCTACAGCTGGGCAAAATCATCTAACGTGAAGCTTATTTTATAATACAGTACTGTATATTTCATGTAATTTATGGATACCGTACTGAAAACGACAAATGAAAAGCTCGTATGAGTACTTGAAGTACAGTTTCAAATGAATGTGTATTGCTGTCTCACCATGATAAAATTGAAAAATTGTAAGTTGATCCATTAACTATCCTAAGTTGGGTACTGTCTATATATTTAAGTCAAAACTATTATTTTAAAATTTCTTCAGGCACTTTTGTAAATAGATAATCATATCACAGAAATTGATACCATAACTAAGATATCCTGGGTTGTTCATATGGAAATAAACTCTTACATTTTCTCACCATTTTAAATAAAAAAAAATACACTTGTAACAGTAATAGAACCGCAACAAATTATGGCATAAAAATCAAGAGAGAGAAATTTAGTAAGACACTTTGACATCCTCATTCTTGTGTCTTTTACAATTTAAATTAAAATTGGGATAATTACAACATATACAATGAGCTCCCAACACAGTGTATGCAGGATACCAGAGAAAGTCATTACGTTTTCCAAAGTGAGATACCAAACTTATCTTATTGTAGGGGATGCAATGAGGACTTACTAAGGAAAACCTTTGAAGTGATAGCATTAGTGGAACGGATTCTGAGCCTGTGAAGGGAAGCTAGACTCACGAGTGCATGAAAATAGCAAGTATCATCTTTTTTGCAAAGTGACGTCACCCATATGTTGGAAATAAATGTCCTTCAGATATCATCAGCTGTATGGAGCCCCGTATTAAGCCATGCAAAAAAAAAAAAAGAATAAAAATATATATCTGGTCCTTGCCAAACCACAGGTCTTACAATAGCCTCAAGTGCACACCGTAGTATAGAATATATAGTATGATGGTATCTAAAGATCCGGGCCTGCTCTGCCAAAGGCTTCCTAGGTTAGGCTTACCAGATTCAGTAAATTATATAGGGAACCCAATTAAATTAGAATTTCAGTTAAACAATGAATGCTCTTTTAGTAAACTATTTCTCATGAAGTGTTATTTTCAAATACTAGCCTGTGATCAGATTTCCAACAATCCACAAAAAAATAACTTTCTTTGTATAATGCAATTACTTTTTTTATAAAGCCAGATTTATCATTTATTCCATATCTCACTTCTAAAGTTATGTCTGTCTCAGGTTTCATATGTATTATTTTACATATATACCTATTTGGTGTATGTACATATATATCTATATTTATATGGAATAAATATATATAAATATTTATGATAGAATACTAAATAGCAGTCAAAACAATTTATATATATTATAGTTATAGTATATATATAATTCCTTTAAATTGTTATTTAGCATTCTATTATATAGATATATTTATCTAGTCTCCAATTGACTGGAAAATTTTTTTCTAGTTTTTTCCATTAAAAACAATGCTGATATCAGCCTTCCAGTACATGTGTCCTTATGTATAGTGCATTTATATAAAATGTATATCTGTAGTGTAATTGCAGGATTGTAGGCTCTGCGCATTGTCAATTTTACTTGATACTAATAAATTATTTTCCAGATTGGCTGTATAAATTTTTAACCCCATCAGCAACATATGGAAGTGCTATTTTTCTTATGTGGTGTCTGTATTTTATATCTTTTCACGTTTTAAGTGCTGGTGATCTAATACAGCCTCTCTTTTTCTGTGACTCATTAAACCCCAGTAGTATCCTTCAAGGCCTTCTTATGCCCTGGGCTTTCCTGTCACTCCATCTGATCCTGCCACCACTTCCTAAAATCCAAACTACAGTGAACAACATTAGCCTTCCTTCTCTGGCCAATGTCCCAGGCTCCAATCCTTTTATTAAACAGAGCTCTTTAGGCTTTTATTGTCACATTCTCCCAGGGTTCTGTTAGCAAATAATTAACAGATTAATGTTCACTAAATAATTGCTGAATGAGTAATGATTTAATGGGTTATCCCTCTATTTGCATTTGCATTTTAATAGTTCTTGTCGAGGTCCTAATCTCAAAAAGAGACTAATGGCCCAGAGGATGAGCCTGAGGGATGGGTGAAACTAGGTAGAAGGCCCTTCAGGGTGGCACCAATCATACAACTAATGTGCCATAGTCAGCCAGCGTATCTGGAGAATAGAGCGATTTTTATTGAATTAATTTATATTTGGGTTAAATAAAAGTTTACTAAAATCTGTTTTTCTTTAGAAACTTAGAAAAAAATTCAACAAACATGTGTCTTAGCTTATTCAAGGTAGACTTGTGGCCATGGTTGAATTTTTGACTGATAAACTCTTAGGACCTTAGAGTCATTTTCTAAACATCAGTTTCATTCATCAGAACTGAAGATAGCAATGGAAGCAGAAGCAAGTATGCCATCTCTGCTATGTATTGAGTTCAGTATATAATCTGAAAAGTAGTTACTGTTTTCTTTTGTTTTTACTAAATCATTGATGTTAGTTGTGCTGCTTTCATGATATTCTTAATTGCAATTTTAGTATACCTTTAATTGTACAGTTTTTATATTATGCTAATTTTTTATTATGTACAACTTTATGACTTGTCTCTAATAGTAATTTACAGACTGTACATATTTGATATGTGAATTTCACACTTCTTACATGTCTTCTAAAAATGACAGTGAGGAAAACAGCCATATCCTGGACATTGCCTACAGAAAGACAGTCTGTACCTTGCCACACAATGTCACCTTTATGTGTATCTAATACAATTTTCTGTCACATAGTAGGCGCTTAATAAATGTGATTGAAAGCTTGAGTAAATGAGTGATTGTGCTCACTTTCAATTTGCAAGTTAGTCTTTCCGTCTGGAAATCTATCAAATCACTGTTTATTTGTGAAAGGAGCAGAATTACTTTCTGACCAGATGTTGATAGAGGGGCTATATGAACAGCATTACCCTATGGTTCCTCATTTGATCATGACTACTGGAGGGTATTCTTTAAAAATCTCCAAAAACAGTTCACGTTTATCAAATGAAGTGACATGGAGAGCCAGAAGTCTTGGTTTCTCCTCTGAGCAATTATGGAGTGTGCTTAAACAGAAATGACTATAAATTTAGCTGAATGGGGCTTATTTTCTGAAAGCCAGAGGTACAGATTGAATCAGTTGAGCAATAGAAAAAGGAGCAGCTTCCAAAACATAATGGCTACATTAAAGTGGTTTGCACAATTATCTGTCACCTAGAGGCAATTTACTCAGAAAAAATTAATTATATTACTAAAACTGTCGTCTCTACTTATGTTTCACCACAATAGTATGAAGAGGTTGATTAGTTACTGCTGATTTCTTCCTTTTGGAACTAAACATAGGGAGGATATATATTACTCTTTCTCTTTCTCTGTGGTTCCTGGAAACCTATTAAAGAGAAATTTATAAGTCTGGGAAGCAGCAGAAAGTTAGCTTGGTTAGCATGTGAAGAGACATGACAATGTGCAGGATTTGGAGTTTAACAACTTGAAGATGGTGAAAATTTTAAAGTGCTGCTCCTATCCTTTCCCTTTCTTTTTAAGGGTCTCCTGAAGGCTGCATTCTTTAGTCACTAATTCATGCAGTATGCTTTGTAAGAAACTTTAAAACAGTATTTTTCCTGCTGCTATTCCTTGCATTTTCATTTGTGGCCTAAATGATCTATGTAGGAAATATTTACTTTGAGGCTTTGGTTTGGCTCGAAAAATGCCAAGTGATCAAACCCAGGCAATGTGTCCATTGATCTCAGCAATGGAATCTTTGAGTGTAGAATAACATACAGGCAAGTTGCTACAAAAAAAAAAAAAAGATTCCAAATTATGTTTGCAGATGTAATAACCCTAATGTTATTCTATTTCTAAAAGAGAGATAAAAAGTTGAATTCTTTATGAATTTTAATTTTTGCCTTTAGTGTCTTCCTGAAAGAAAATAAAAACAAAATAAGTGGTAAGGTTTACATATAATGGGTCTATTTGTCCTTTTCTCCATGCTTCCCCTTCATTTCCCGATTTCTTTTTTTTATTTTTTCAATAATTTTTAATTATACTTTAAGTTCTAGGGTACATGTGCACAATGTGCAGGTTTGTTACATACGTATACATGTACCATGTTAGTGTGCTGCACGCATTAACTCATCATTTACATTAGGTATATCTCCTAAAGCTATCCCTCCCTTCTTCCCCCACCCCACAATAGGCCCTGGTGTGTGATGTTCCCCTTCCTGTGTCCAAGTGTTCCCATTGTTCAGTTCCCACCTATGAGTGAGAACATGCGGTGTTTGGTTTTTTGTCCTTGCTATAGTTTGCTGAGAATGATGGTTTCCAGCTTCATCCATGTCCCTACAAAGGACATGAACTCATCCTTTTTTATGGCTGCATAGTATTCCATGGTGTATATGTGCCACATTTTCTTAATCCAGTCTATCATTGTTGGACATTTGGGTTAGTTCCAAGTCTTTGCTATTGTGAATAGTGCCGCAATAAACATACGTGTGCATGTGTCTTTATAGCAGCATGATTTATTTGTGGCGATTCCTCAGGGATCTAGAACTAGAAATACCATTTGACCCAGCCATCCCATTACCGGGTATATACCCAAAGGAATATAAATTTCTACTGAATTTGATTTTCAGATAATATTTGCGGATTTGAGGTGCTAGGTTTGTATTATGGGTAACCCAATCTCTCACAGTAGGAGGGAAGTTTCTGGACCCTCAAAAGCCTGTAGGGAATAGGAAAAGGAGTTGTGAATAGGTGGGAGTTTTTTCTTTCATTCAATAATCCCCCTGTGTCTTTGAAACAATATTCCATAAGCACCCACCTAGTCTAAGGTCTTTCCAAATAAAACCCACATATGATCCATGTTTAAGTACTTGTCTCTTCCCCAAAAACTCATGATTAAATTTAATCCCTAATATGGCAGTCTTGAAAGGTGCGATGTTTAAGATTATGTCATGAGGGCTCTGAATTCATGAATTAATTAATGAATTAATGAATTAATCCATGTATGAATTTTTATATATATATATATGTATATGTGGTAATTGTAGCTTTATAAGAAGAGAAATAGAGAACTGAGCTAGCACAATCAGTCCCCTCATGATGTGATGCCCTGTGACACCTTGGGACTCTGCAGAGAGTCTCCACCAGCAACAAGGCCCTCACCAAATACAGCACCTCAACCTTGGATTTCTCAGTCTCCGTAACTATAATAAATAAATTCCTTTTCTTCATAAATTACCCAGTTTCAGGTATTCTGTTATAAACAAAATAAACAGACTGACCACCCATAAAATTTTGTGTACTCCAAGCCAAAATAATCCTCCGTATCTTCATGTCTCTTTTGAGGAAAAATAAACACACAAAAAGTGCCTTCAAGTAATTGCAACAAATGTATATAGAACAACATGTAATGCAAAGGAAAGCTTTTCTTTAAGATTATATTTTAACAAATGCAAAATAGGCTACATAAAATAACTTTTGAAATTACAGATATGAAGCTATAATGGTTGAACCAGTTTTCAAGTAAGCTTGATTTGTCTGCTGATTTCTGTTGTATAAATGTCCCACTATGAGTGATTTAAAACTACTGATGAGAAGGTACTGAAGGGGGAGTTTGTAAGGTATACAAACAATGGGGTCTCTTGCATCTTTAAGAGCCAGTTTAGCACACCACTGATAGGTTGTCATCTTATATTATTTTCTTTTGAGATATTGTATTTACATTATAGAAGAGAAACTCACAAAAGAGCACTAATTTAAAGAAAATAATAATTTGGTAATACTGCAAGTGAAAATTACAATAAGAGGCATTTTCAGGATAGATTGATAAGGTACTCCCTGGTATCTTATCCCTTGAATAACTTTATCAGCTCTTCTCAGCCTACAAATTATGTTACCCTACCATTATTTGACATGTGAGGACCAACTGATTTGCTATGGAAGTTTTATAAATCAATATCCCCAAAGACCTAGATTTCCAGGCACATTTTACCAGTCTTTTCTTAATGATTGACTTAATTGATTTTTTATTTTAGGTTCAGATAACTGAACCTGAAATACAGAAATAGTAAAATAATGTTAAATTGGACTTGCATTCACTTTATATAAGGCAACATAGAGTTTATGAGTTTATGAACTTATTTCCACATTATTTCACTTTCTCCTCCTGCACATTCAATTCCTGCCACATCTAATTTCTCTTAGGCTTAAGTGCTTCCTTGTTAATATATTCTCACACTTCTGCTGCCTTCTTTGCCTTCATGTGTCAAAATGTGCAATAAGAATTGAAAGTCCCATGAGTCTGAATCAGAGGCCAAAACCCTAATGTAGAGATCCAGCAGCCATTAGGATACTGGAATTTTCCAAGGTAGCTCTCAAGTCAAACATGATTTAGAAACTGAATTCTTTACTGATTTAGTGGCCTGGCTTTCTATAAGAGCAACATGAAAGGAGCAACTAAAATATAAACAAAGAAGAGTCTTGGTATGCACTGACCACTATGTATATGTTAATTAAAATGATGTGAATTACAGCGGAATAGTTCATAAAGGCTTGTTAAAATAATTTCAGTATCTAATAGAGAAAAAGTACTAGGCATAATGGAGGGTGCAAGGACAGAATGATTTGCAAAAACGTAAAAAAAAAAAAAAGAAATCCCTCTTTTCTCCATACTTGCCAGAATCCTAAATCTCTGAGTGCAGGTATATAAATCCTTGGGTTGATTTAAAATTCTTATGTCTAACTTGGAGTGAGTTGCACAATATTTGGTGGTTTTTCAGGAAATGGTAAATAATTTTAGAATATGATCCTGCCATGGATAGTCCTTGGCAAAACAGGGAAGTAGAATGTTCATCTTCAGTAGCTCCTCTCTTTTCCAGACATTTATCTTTAATATTTTGGGCTTGCATGCTGTCCTATCATATATCACAGTCCCCCAGTGATGCTTCTCCTCCTTCCATTGAGGGTTGCTGTTCAGACCTGTCATCACAGAATTTTGATGTATTGAAGTGATCTTGCCCTACTCAGGAGAGTCCAACATCCATTCCTCATAAAATATGTCGGTCCTGTTATCTGTCTCTCTTAAAGTGTTGTTGTCTGGAATCAGCCAATTCTGTAAACACGGAGAAAAAATTTATGAAAGGGCAACTGATATTAAACTAATCCTTTGTTTATTCTTCATGGTAAAAAACACATAACATACAAATTGCGATTTTAACTACTTTAAAGTGTGCAAGTCCACAGCACTAAGTATATTCCCAATGTAATGCAACCATCACCATTATCCATTTCAAGAATGTTTGTATCACCTGAAACAGAAACCCCATAACCTTTAAGCAATCGCACCCATTCCATCCTTCCCATAACCTCAGGCAGCCACTAATCTTTCTGTAACTATGAATTTGCATTTTATATAAATAGAATCATACAATATGCGACTCTTTGTTTCTGCCATCTTTTACTTATTATGTTTTGAAGGTTTCTCTATGTTTTACTTACCATTATGTTTTGAAGGTTTCTCTGTGTTGTAGCATGTATCAGTGTATCATTTCTTTTTATGGCTGAAAAATATTTTATTGTGTGGATTATATAACATTTTGTTTAGCCATTAAGCAGCTAATGGACATTTGAATTTTTTCCACATTTAGCTATTGTGAATTGTACTGCTATTAATATTTATATATAAGTTTTGTGTTAAACTCCTGTTTTCAGGGTATAAATTTTGGGGGTTACATATCTAAGAGTGGAGATGCTGAGTCATATCATATTTCTGTGTTTAATCTTTTTAGTGAACTGCCAAAATATTTTCCACAGGAGTTGCACCATGTTACATTCCCACCTGCAAAGTATGGGAATTTCACTTTCTTCACATCATCACCAACCATTGTTATTTTCTGTTATTTTTTTAACATGGCCATCCCAGTAGGTGTGAAGTGGTATCTCATTGTTTTACTTTGCATTTCCCTAAAGACAAATAACGCTTAGCATATTTTCATGTGCATATTGATTATTTGATTATCTTATTTAGAGAAATGTTAATTCAAATTCTTTCCTTTACTTGAAAATTGGATTGTTTGTCTTTTTGCTGTGTTTCCAATTTGTCAATATTATAAAATGTGTTGCTTTTTGGTCAAACATCTTTTTTTTTTTTTTTTTACCAATTTAGACTATCATATGCTTTTGTTCAAAAGCGTCATTCCTATGATTGACTTTTGTGCATCAAAACAACTTTGCATTCGCAGGATAAATCACACTTGGTTATGGTAGCTAATTATTACTATTATTATTATTTTTGAGACAGGGTCTCACTCCATCACCCAGGCTGGAGTGCAGTGGCGTGACCATGGCTCACTACAGCCTCAAACTCCCAGGCTCAGGTGATCCTCCTGCCTCAGTATCTCAAGTAGCTGGGACAACAGATATGCGCCACCATGCCTGACTAATTTTTTTTTGTAGTTTTTGTAGATATGGGGTTTTGCCATGTTGCCCAGTCTGGTCTTGAGCACCTGGGCTCTAGCGATCCTTCCCCTTCAGCCTCCCAAAGTGCTGGGATTACAGGCATGAGTCATCAAATTATTTTTATGTGTTGATAGATTGGGTTTGCTAGAATTTTGTTAGGGATTTTTGCATCTACATTCATAATGAACACAGGTCTATAATTTTCTTTCTTATGATTCTGTTGTCTGGTTTTGCTTCAGGGTAATAATGGCCTCATAGAATGAATTGGCAAGTGTTATCTTAACTTCTATTTTTTTGGAAGAGTTTGAAAACAATTGTTAATTTTTCTTTACATTTTTGGAAGAATTCAACAGTCAAACCATCTGGCTCTTTTTGTATTGGTAATTTTATGATTACTTATTCAATATTTTTACTTACTATATATTTATTCAGACTTTCAATTTCTTTTTGACTCAATTTAATAGTGTGTGCGTGTTTCTAAGAATTTGTTCATTTTAATTAGGCAATTGTTAGTGTACAGATTTTCATAGTAATTTTTATAATCTTTTAAAACTTTTTATGTCAATAATAATGTTCCCATATTTATTTCTTCTTTTAGTAATTGGAGTCTTCTATATTTTTTTCTTGGTGTGTCCAGGTAAAGTTTTGTCAATTTTATTATTATTTTCTAAAAGCCAATTTTTGTTTTCATTGACATTCTTTATTGTTTTTCTATTTTCTATTTAGTTTCTCGCCAGTCCAATCTTCATTATTTCTTTCCTTCTTTTAGCCATGGGATTCATTTGTTCTTCATTTTTCTAGTTTCTTAAGTTGTAGTGTTAGGTTGCTGGCTTGAAAGCTTTCTTCTTTTTTGATGTAAACATTTGCAGTTATAAATATCTTTCTTGCATTGCTTTTGCTGTATCTCATAATATTAAATTTGCTGTCTCACAGACACACCCAGGATCAATACTTTGCATCCTTCATTTGTCTTCTGGTATTGTAAAAAATTTATCTTGCTATTTGTTACTTGACCCATTGATTGTTTAAGAGTCTATTGTTTAATTTCCACATATTTGTGGGTTTTGTTTTCCATTTTTTCTTTTTCTAATGAATATCATGATTCATTCCATTGTGGTTGGAGAGGATAACTTAAATGACTTAAATCTTTTAAAATGTATTGAGATTTGTTTGGGGCCAAATATAAGGCATATCCTGAAGAATGTTTCATGTATATTTAAAAAGAATGTCTCCATGTTGTTGTTAGAGTGTCCCATGTATGTCTGTAATATCTAGTTGGTTTATAGTGTTCCTCAAAATATTCTGTCTTTTAATTGATCTTCTGTCTAATTGTTCTATTCATTATTGTAAGGGGAGTGATGAAGTTCCCAAACTAACGTTAGTGCAGAATTGTCTTAATTTTTCTTTCAATTTTGTCATACTTTGTTTCGGATATTTGGTGGCTTCATTATTCCACAGGCATGTTTATAATTGTTGTATCTTCTTGATGGATCCTCCCTTCTATTAATTTATAACATCCATCATCATCTCTTATAATAATTTCTGATTTAAAGTATATTTTGTCTCATATCAGTATAGATCCCTATCTCTGTTTTTGTTACTATTGCTATGAAATACCTTTGCTAACCTTTCACTTTTATTATTTATTTTTAACAAAATTGAGTCTCTCATAGACGCCATATAAATGTTTTTGTATCTATCCTGCTAATTTCTACCATGTAAGTTGTGATAGAAACTATGTCTAAGTCTATGGAATGGACTTTGGCTCTGAAAGTGAAGGGTGAAAAACCTAAGGACTGTTGTACTGTTCAAGTAATATAGGGCCATCACAATTGAAGAATTTGTTCACCAAGGGAACATCCAATCTTATATGTGTATATAATAGGTACTTGTTTATGTGATGTGATGAGAAGTTCCTATCTATACCAGATAGTCTCCAAGTAACATCACGTTATCTTATGAAAAAAAAAAAGCCCCCAGTTAGAACGTTAACTCTTTGGGTATATTATTCCAGGTTCTCTAGAGGGAAAAAACTAATAGGATATCTCTATTTCTATGTATCTATCTATCTATCTATCTATCTATCTATCTATCTATCTATCTGTTGTGGGAAGTCAAGGACCCCGAACAGAGAGACTGACTGAACCTGTGGCAGAAGAACATAAATTGTGAAGATTTCATGGACATTTATCAGTTCCCCAATCAATACTCTTATAATTTCTTATGACTGTCTTTACTTTAATTTCTTAATCTCGTCATCTTCTTAAGCTGAGGATGTATGTCACCTCAGGACCATACAATGATTGTGTTAACTGTACAAATTGTTTGTAAAACATGTGTGTTTGAACGATCTGAAATCAGTGCACCCTGAAAAAGAACAGAATAACAGCGATTTTCAGGGAACGAGGAAAGATAACCATAAGGTCTGACTGCCTGTGGGGTCAGGCAGAATAGAGGCATATTTTTCTTCTTGCAGAAAGCAAGTAGGAGAAATATCACTGAATTCTTTTCCCAGCAAGGAATAACCCTGGGGAAGAAATGCATTCCTGGGGGCAGGTCTATGAATGGCCGCTCTGGGAGTGTCTGTCTTATGTGGTTGAGATAAGGGATGAAATATGCCCTGGTCTCCTGCAGTGCCCTCAGGCTTACTAGGCTTGGGAAATTCCAGCCTGGTAAATTCTAGTCAGATCGGTTGTCTGCTCTCAAACCCTGTTTCCTGTTAAGATGTTTATCAAGACAATGCATGCCCAGCGGGACATGGACCCTCATCAGTAATTCTAATTTCACCCTTGCCTTGTGATCTTGCTCTGCCCTCAGCCTTGTGATCTTTTATTGCCCTTTGAAGCATGTGATCCTTATGACCTACTCCCTGTTCGTACATCCCCTCCCCTTCTAAAATCCCTAATAAAAACTTGCTGGTTTTGCGGCTCAGGTGGACATCACGGAACCTGCCAATACATGATGTCACCCCCAGAGTCCCAACTGTAAAATTTCTCTCTTTGTACTCTTTCTCTTTATTTCTCAGACTGGCTGACACTTAGGGAAAATAGAAAAGAACCTACGTTGAAATATTGGGGGCTGGTTCCCCTGATATCTATCTATCGATCTATCTATCTACCTATCTATCTATCTATCATCTATCTGTCTATCTATCTATCTATCTAGATATAAAGGAGAATTTATTAAGGAGTATTAAACTCACACAATCACAAGGTCCCACAATAGGCCCTCTGCAAGCTGAGGAGCAAGAAAGTCAAGCTGAGGAGCAAGAAAGTCAATCTGAGTCATAAAGGTGAATAACTTGAAGTCTGATGTTCAAGGGCAGGAAGCATCCAGCATGGGAGGAAAATATAGGCTGGGAGGCTAAGCCAGTCTAGCCTTTTCCCTTTTTTTTCTCTGCCTGCTTTATATCCTGGCCACACTGGCAGCTGATTAGATGGCGCCCACCCAAATTAAGTGTGGGTCTGCTTTTTCCAACCCACTAACTTAAATGTTAATCTCCTCTGGCAACACCCTCACATACACACCCAGCATCAATACTTTGCATCCTTCAATCCAATCAAGTTGACACTCAGTATTAACCATCACATTGGGTTAAGATTCATCTCCAGAAAACCCTTAGTAAATTCAAATATATTCTGGTCATTGACTTGGTCTCTCTATGTCTCCTGCCTTTTACTTTTATAGTTTGTTTCTGAGTCTTTGTTTTATCTTGATATTTAAGATGTACATGTTTCATACATCTCCTGATTACCTGTATGCTTCGTGATTCAACGACCTAACAGAAATCAGTAATTTTTTCATATTTTTCCGCCTTTGTTGTCCTGGCTTCTAACTATTTCTCCAAATGTTTCTGCTGCCACCCTTAGTTCTAGTGCTGACAAACTAGGACTGTGGCACATAATGAGCATGGTCAGGCTTTATAAATAGATAAATGAATGACTATCTTCTTTAATGGAAAACTTGTACATCTGAATTGAAGATATTTAAGACCAAACTTCTAGCTTTACCCTCCTTTCACATAAAAGCACCCAGAGAGCCTAATGATTTCAGATTACTTTGAGACAGAGAAAACATCATTTACATTATTCCCAAAGATATCTGGTCACAATACTCCAGCTGATACTGAGGTCAGGCTAGAATTCGGTTAGTTATCAAGCCTAAACACTTCAGCTGTGTTCTTGGCTTTATCTTCATGAGATCTTTCTTCCTGAGGGGTGGATGGCCTGAGTTTTGACATTAACAAAGCCTTATTATGATTGAATTTGCCCCAAAGATTAATATTTTAGCATTTTCCTTCATGGTAAAGAAAGCAATATTTGTGGAGCCCCAGCCATATGCCACTAATAGTGTCAATGTTATCTTTTTAAACCCTTTTTAATAGTCTTCCAAGAAGAGCTCTGTGTTATTTTCATATTTTAAAAAAATTAAATAAAAGCACATATTGAAATAGTACAAATCTTAAATACTTAGTTTAATAAATGCTTACATGTGTAGCAACAACCCAACTTAAGTCATAGAACAATTCTGTCTCCCGAAAGCCTTCCTTGTGTCCACTCTGTCAGTATATCCCAAGGAGGTAATCACACTTTATGTCCTGTAAATGAATCATATAGTATGTATTCTTTTGGATATGGCTATATTTGCTAATAATTATGTCTGTGAGCTTCAACCATGTTTTTAAATGTATAAGCATTTTGCTATTTTTATTATTCTGTACTATTTGATTAATATTAATATATCATTTATTTTTCTATTTTTTTGTAATGTGCATTTGGATTATTTTTAATTTGGGGATGATTCTGAACGATGATTCTGTGGAGATTCTCATATAAGTATTTGGTGGGCACAAATACTCCTTTCCTTTGATTATATACCTAGGAGTAAAACTTGTGAGTAAAAAGCGAATATACAGCTTTGTTAGATACTACAAAAGAGATTTCAAAGGTGGTTTTACCATTTTATATATTTTTTTAAATGTTCTTTCAAGTCTTTTGTATACCTCAAAATTGGAAGTGTATCTTTTGCCTTTTTTATTTAGACTATTTTATTAAGCTATGCTTGACATATAAAAAGCTGTACATATTTAATGTATACACCTCAGTGAGTTTGTGTACAACTGTGAAACCATCACCACTATCAAAGCCATAAACGTATCCATCACCTCTCAGAATTTCCTGCCATCCCCTTTTATTGTTATTATTGGGGATTTTTTCATGTAGAAACACTTGACATAAAATATATCCACTTAGCAAATTTTAGGCATACAATACAGCATTATTACTTATAAGCACTGTGCTAGGAAGTGGATCTTCAGAACTTATTTTCTTGCATAGCTATATCTTTGTACCTTTGACCCATCATGTCCAAATTTCTCCCTCCTAGACCCTGGACGCTCTAGGTTGGACATTTGAATCCCAAAACTCATGTTGAAATTTGAGCACCAATTTTGAAGATGAGTCATAAGTGGAGATAATTGGGTAATGGGGGCAAAATCCTCATGAATGGCTTGGTGCCATCTTCAAGGTAATGAGTGAGTTATCACTTTATTAGTTCCCATGGGGGCTGTTCGTTTGTTTGTTTGTTTTGCTTTGTTTTTTGTTGTTTTGCTTTGTTTTTGTTTTGTTTTGTTTTTTTTTTTTTTGAGATGGAGTCTCACACTGTTGCTCTGGCTAGAGCACAGTGGCGTGATTTCGGCTCACTGGAACATCTGCCTCCCAGGTTCAAGTGATTCTCCTGCCTCAGCCTCCCAAGTAGCTGGAATTACAGGTGCCTGCCATCACGCCTGCTAATTTTTTTGTATTTTTAGTAGAGATGTTGTTTCATCATGTTGGCCAGGCTGGTCTCAAACTCCTGACCTCGTGATTTGCCCACCTTGACCTCCCAAAGTGCTGGGATTACAGGTGTAAGCCACTGTGCCTGGCCGGGGCTGGTTTTTAAAAGGAGCTTGGAACATTTTTTCCCTGTCTCTTGCTTCCTTTCTTACCATGTGATCACTGCACATGCCATTACTGGAAGCAGCCTGTAGTCCTCACCAGAAGCACATGTTTGTGCCATGCTTCTTGTACAGTCTGCAGAACTGTGAGCCAAATAAACCTCTTTTCTCTGTAAAATATCCACCCTCAGGTATTCCTTTATATCAATAGTAAACGGATGAAGACAGTGGAAACAATTATTCTACTCACTAATTTTATGAGTTCGACTATTTTAGAAATCACATGTTAAGATCATATAATATTTATATTTCTATATATGGTTTATTTCATGTAACATAATGTTCCCCAGATTCATCCATTTTGTTACAAATATCAGGGTTTTCTTTTTTTACAGGCTTAGTAATATTTCATTATATTTCTGTACCACAATTTATTTATTTATTTATTCATTGAAAGACATTTTGGGTCGGGCATGGTGGCTCATGCCTGTAAACCCAGCACCTTGGGAGGCCAAGGCGGGTGGATCATGAGGTCAGGAGATCGAGACCGTCCTGGTTAACATGGTGGAACCCTGTCTCTACTAAAAATACAAAAAATTAGCCAGATGTGGTGGCTCATGCCTGTAATCCCAGCTACTCGGGAGGCTGAGGCAGGAAAATCACTTGAACCCATGAGGCAGAGGTTGCAGTGAGCCGAGATCACACCACCGCACTCCAGCCTGGGTGACAGAGTGAGACTCCATCTCAAAAAAAAAAAAAGGCATTTTGGTTGTTTCCATATCATAGCTTTTACGCATACCACTGCAATTAAGATGAAAGTGCAGATATCTCTTGGAGATCTTGATTTTAATTCTTTTGAATATATATTCAAAAGAAGGATTGCTGGATCATATGGTAGTTCTATTTGTAATTTATTAAGGGATTTTCATTGTGTTTTCCACAATGGCTGTACCAGTAACATTTCCACCAATAGTGTACAAAGGTTCACTTTCTCTACATCTTTGTCAACAGATTTTTTCATATCATTTAGAAAATAATAACCATAATAACAGGTGTGATGTAATACCTCATTGTGATTTTGATTTACATTTTCCTAATGATTGGGGATGTTGAGCACATTTTCATATTTGCATTGGGCATTTGTATGTCTTCTTTGAAAAAATGTCTGTTTGAGTTCTTTGGCTGATTTTTAATTGGATTGTGAGTTTTTTGGTTGTTCAGTTGTATGAATTTGCATTTTTTTCTATTCTATAGGTTACCTTTTCAGTTTGTTGACTTGATTTTACTGTGCAGAAGCTTTTTAGTTTTGACTTGTTTATTGTTGGTTTTGTTGCTTGTGTTTCAGGAGTCATATCCAAAAAAAATTTGTTGCAAAGACTAATGTCAAGAAGCTTTATTCCTACATATTCTTTTAAGAGTTCTACAGTTTTAGGCTTTACATTTCAGTCTGATTTATTTTGAGTTAATTTTTATGTATGAAGTAAGAGTCTAATTTATTCTTCTGAATATGGATAGTTTTCCCAGTACCATTTATTGCAGAGAACTTTCTCCATTGCATTTTCTTGGCTCTCTTGATAAAAATTAGTTGATTGTATATTAATAGGTCTGTTTCTGGGCTCTCTATTTTTTCCTTTGGTTTAGATGTTTGGTTTTTATGCAAGGACTCTACTGTTTTGATTACCATAGCTTTGTAATATAATTTAAAATAAAAAAGTGTGATGCCTTCAGCTTTGTTCTTTTCACTCAAGATTACTTTGGCTAGTTAGAGTTTTTTATGGTTCTATTTATATGAAAAATGTTATTGGAATTTTTATAGGGATTGCATTGAATCTGTTGAATGATTTGGGTAATATAGGCATTTTAACAATAGTAATTCTTCCAATGCTTGAACACAGGATATCTTTCCATTTACTTGTATGTACTTTTTTCATCAATGTTTTACAGATTTTTGTGTACAAGTCTTGGATCTCCTTTGTTAAATTTATCTTAGTTTATTATTTTGATGCTATTATCAACTGGATTGCTTTCTTAATTGTTTTTTTCAAAGTTCATTGTTAGGGTATATAACACAATGGATTTTTAGATGTTGATTTGCTGAATCCAAATGTAATGAATTTGTTTATTAGTTATAACAATTTTTGCAGGAGATTTTAGGGTTATTTTGTGTATAGAATTATGTCACCTAAAAACAGAGAAAATGTTGTTTCTCCCTTTCTAATTTTAATGACTTTTATTTATTTTCTTGCCTAATTGCTCTGGCTAGGGCTTCCTCTGAAAAGATCAATAATGAGTAAGGGGATTGGATCACTAACCAAAGACCTCCCAACAAAGAAAATCCTAGGAACAAATGGCTTCACTGGTGAATTCTACCAAATAGTTAAATAAAAATTTATGTAAATCCTTCTCAAACTCCTCCAAAACATTTAAGAGTATGGAACACTTTAAAACTCATTCTATGTGGCCAGTGTCACACCAGAAAAGGACACTATGATGAAAGAAAACTAGAGGCTACTATCCCTGATAAATATGGATGCCAAATTCTCAACAAGTACTAGCAAACTGAATTCACTGGCTCATTAAAAGAATAACATGCTATGATCAAGTGAGATTTATTCCTGGAATTCAGAATAAATGTGATATACAAGAATGAAGTATAAACATCATATGATCAACTTAATAAAGAAAATGTCTTTGAGAAAATTCAGAATTTTTAATAAATATTCTCAACTAATTAAGTAATAAAAGAAATGTACCTCAACATAATAATGAGCCCATATGCCAAGCCCACAGATAACAACATGCTCAACAGTGAAAGCTAAACATTTTTCCTCTAAAATCAGCAACAAGACAAGGATATACATTCGTGCCACTTCTATTCTCTTTTTCTTATTAATTTGTAGGAGATTTTAAATTTATATATATTCAGAATTTTAGTTCATCATCAGATATCTATATCTATATCAATGCTATGCATCAAATAACTATTTCAAGTCTGTGGCTTGTCTTTTTACTCTCTTAAAATTTTTTTAAAGGAATAGATATTTGTAATTTTAAGAAAGTGAAAATATAAATATTTACTGGTAATTGAATTTTCTGTGATATTTTCTTATGTTTTTTCCAACAAGCTTTATAATTTTTTTCTTTCATATTTAGATCTATGATCCATTTCAAATTAGTTTTTGCGTGTGGTGTGAGTAAAATTAAAATTGACAGTTTTCCATGGAGATAGACAATTGATTTAGTATCATTTATTAAAAAAAAATTATATTTTCCCAAGAGTAGTGGCATATTTGTTGTTTATCAGATTGTTATATAAATGGTGGCTTATATATGGATTTTAGGATTTTTTCCTATAATATGTCTTCATGTTAATGCCATGCTGTCTTAATTACTGTAGCTGTGTAATAAGTCTTGATATTTTATAGTATAAGTCTTTCCACTTTGATCTTTTACCTCGATCACATCCTGGAATTGTTCCTCTGTTTTAAGATAAATTTTACAATCACCTATAAGCTATCATGAAAACACCTACTGAGACTGTAATTGAGATTGCATTAGATCTCTAGGACATTTGAGGAGAATCAGTGTCTTAAACATAATGAGTTATTTACTCTCTGTACATTATATATCTATTTATTCAGATTCTTCATTTATCTATTTATTTAGTTTTTTCTTTTTAAAATAGCTTTATTGAAAAATGATTGAATACAAAAAAACTATGCTCATTTATTGTGTATAATTTGATGAATTTGGACATATGCAAACACCCATGATACTATCTCCACAATCGAAGTAATAGACATATCCAACACCTCCCAAAGTTTTCTCGTGTCTCTTTTCTGTTTGTTTGTTTGTTTGTTTGTGATAAGAACATGTGATCTGGCCAGGTGCAGTGGCTCATGCCTGTAATCCCAGCACTTTGGGAGGCCAAGGAGGGCAGATTACTTGAGGTCAGGAGTTCGAGACCAGCCGGGCCAACAAGGTGAAACTCAGCCTTTACTAAAAATACAACAAGTAAGCCGGGTATGGTGGCACGCATCTGTAATCCCAGCTACTCATGAGGCTGAGGTGGGAGAATCATTGGAACCCAGGAGACGGAGGTTGCAGTAAGCCGAGATCACACCACTGCACTCCAGTCTGGGCAACAGAGCAAGACTGCATCTCAAAAAAAGAAAAAAAAAAAAAAAAAAAGAACATGTGATCTACCCTTCTAAAAAAATTTGAAGTACACAATACTGTGTTGTAATTGTAGGCACTGTGTTCTACAGTAGATCTTTAGAAGTACTTTATTTTGTGTAACTGAAATGGCTTCTGTGAGTTTAACTATTATAGCTATCTTATATAAGTGGAAGCATGCAGTAATTGTCTTTCTGTGACTGGCTTATGTTACTTAGCATAATGTCCTCTAGGTTCATCC